>NC_000016.10:58804924-59107954 GCF_000001405.40 Homo sapiens | reverse complement strand
ACCTAACTAGTGTTTTAACTGAGATACAATAACAGCACTCAGAATACTGCCTGCCACATAAACACAATAAATACTTTTCTATTATGAATACTTTTAAATACCTGTTGAACCCATTCTCCCTCCTTGTGATCATTAATTTTACATATCGACTTGCCTAAGCCTTTGAGTGCTGAGATATTTGGTCAAATATTACTGTGGATGTGTCTACGAGGGTGTTTCTGGATAAGATTAGATTTGAATTGGTAGACTGAGTAAAGCAGATTGGCCTCCCTAATGTGGCTGGGTCCCATCCAATTACTTTAAAACTTGCATAGAACAAAAAAGCTGCAAGATGTTAGGCTAGAACATTAGGCTTCTCCTGACCTCGGACTGGAATTTACACCATCAACTGTCCTGGTTCTCAGGCCTTCAGATTCAGACTGAAACTACATCACTGGTAATATGTGCAGCACCAGCTGTCTTGGGTGTCCAGCTTGCCGACTGTGAGTCTTGGGACTTGTCAGCCTCCATAATCATGTGAAGCAATTCTGTATAATAAAGATAGTTAAATAGATTAGATAGACAGATGATAGATGGATGGATGGATAGAGATAGATAGATAGATAGATAGATAATAGATGGATGGATGGATAATAGATGGATGAATAGATGGATGAATAGACAGATATTCTCTATCTCTCTATATCTCTGTATTTCTATATATCTCTTATTGCTCCTGTTTCTCTGGAGAATCTTGATTAATGCACTTTTTTTTTTTTTTTGCTTCAAAATTCCATGTGCATGAAACTCTGTAATATGTGAGAAACACATTTACCCCTTCCAGTTACAAGTGGTCATCACCAACACTTAAGTAATAGGATAAAAAGTACACCAGTGATTGGACCTCTGAGGAATATTGGCGGATGCCAAAACTAAGCATTTATCAAAAGAAACACCAAGTTTAAGTGTCATAATGGGATTTGCCCCAATTGAATAAGGTCTGCATCCAAAGGCTGGCAGCAAGTTCTCCACAGAACCAAGCAAGAGAAACAAGAAGTAAAGACAGAGGACAATCACATGCATGTGTGTGAGTTCTTGGAGTGATGCTCCTGAAGGCCTTGAATCTCACCCCTGAAAAATACCTTTATATCCTCATTTCCAGTTATTAGAAAATTAGCAGCTGTTCATTTTTAGAAAGCCCCTAATAAGTCACCATTTGTGAGGCCCTAAAAGCACTGTTTTCTTTGTTCTGATGGAGAGAAGCATCAGAATTCAATGGATATCTCCTCAACAAGTACAGAACAGATGTCTCCCATGGTTTTGACCTTGCAGTCTCTAAAAGAGTAAGCCATCTTAAGGTTTTCCAAAAATATACTGAGGAAGAAGTTGTCAAATTAGAATTTGTTAATGCACTTGCTATCAAAGCTGATACATAAAGATGTGTCAGATCAAGAGTCAAAGTTTTTACCCAAATCACAAAGATTCTGGAATATCCCATTGAGCATTTTGCATATGGTTACTCTCAGAATGAAGACTAATTTTCCCATTTAGAGTTATAATAGACAGTATTTTCTGCATTAAGGTATAGTTGTCACACCACATCACATTACACTATCATATACACATTGGAACATCCTTATTTGTTTAAAATACAATGTTTTGCTCCTATCTGAATGACAGCTTTCAGGCAATAGAAGAGAAAAACATTAAAATTTTAGAATTTACTCTTTAAAGCATATAGTCATTAAAATTGAGGCATAGAAAGAAAATTGATGGGGTCAAATTTTCTCTTATGCCAACAATGAAGTGTGAACAAATAAAAAGGAAAATTATAGGATTGTACAAGTAAAATACATGATACAAGTTCAATACAAATCACAGAAATTCGAAGCAAGAGTGGGATAGCACAGGAAAAAAATAAATTCAATTGTGATTTAATGCTTAATCAAATATGGATCACTTGACTATGAAGACAAAAATGATTATTTGCACAACTTTAATATATTTAAAGACAGGGCCCATGGAGCATGAGCAACACAAGCCTGTCTTTAATTTCTGAGTAAGTTTATGTTTTTATTTATTTAAGCAGATAGATCGCCTAAATTGATTATAATGAGAAAATGAAGAGATTATACCTTAGCTACCAGACTTAAATGCACCCATTTTAAAAAAGTTATAAAAAATACAATTTGGGTAGTTTTAGAGCATTTTTTAAATGACTGACAAAAACTCAGTTTTTACCAAAAATCTCTGAATAATTGAGGAAATGTTATTTAAAAGTGATTTTGATCATTGGTTTTGTTCTCAACACAGTTTCATGGGAAACAGAATATAGAGAGAGAAAGACAGATGCAATCATCCCACAGTGTCCACGAAGGATTGGTTCCAAGATCCTTGCAGACACCAAAATCTGCAGATGCTCAAGTCTCTGCTATAAAATGACATAGTATTTGCATATAACCTATGCACATCCCCCTATATACTTTTAACCACCTGTAGATTACTTATAATACCTAATATAATGGAAATGCTACGAAAATTGCCTTATATTGTACTGTTTAGGGAATAATGACAAGAGAAAATGTCTGTACACATTTAGCACAGATACAGTTTTTTCCCTCAAATATTTTAGATCCATTGTTTGTTGAATGCATGTATATGGAACCCATGGCTATGGAGGAACAACTGTATGCAGTTTTGTATACAGGAGCCAATGCCTGAAACATTACATCTAACCTGGTCTAGCCTTGATGGAGAACAGAAGTGAGGCACCTATGTTCTAACTGAGGCAATGTTATGGGAGAGTTGGTTCCTGTGTTCGGCTGTTCACGCATTGCTATAAAGAAATACCTGAGGCTGGGTAATTTATAAAGAAAATATATTTAATTGGCTTACAGTTCCGCAAGCTTTGCAGGAAGCATAGTGGCAATGTCTGCTTGGCTTCTGGGGAGGCTTCAGGAAGCTTACAATTAGGGCAGAAGGCAAAGTGAGAGCAGGCAGGTCACATGGAAACAGGAGCAAGAGGAGATGGGAGATGCCACACACTTTTAAACAGCCAAATCTCACGAGAACTCAATCACTACTAGGAGGAAAGCATCAAAGGGATGGTGTTAAACCATTTATGAGAAACCCACCCCCATGAGCCAATCACCTCCTACCAGACCCCACCTCCAACATCAGGGATTACATTTCAACATAAGATTTGGGTGGAGCAAATATCCAAACTATATCAGTTCCCATGGATTTCTAAGTGAACAGATGTATCTAATCAATAGCATTTATGTAACAAACCTGCATGTTGTGCACATGTACCCTAAAACTTAAAGTATAATAATAAAAAAAAAAGAACAATAGCATTGAGTTTTAGGATATTTGCTGAATACTTAATATTAAGAACAACATTAATACCATATATTCTTATTTATATATTTTAACATCTTATTTTTTAAATTTTATATGCTATAATTTCTCCTATAGTGTAGCAACATCATGAAACTAATTAAAATTCTGGCTGGCTTATTTATTCTGTTAGTCCTGTATTATGTACTTTATATTTAAGGAATAATTATAATTAGGCTAATAATAGGCTAGGAGTTTTAATAACAATTTATTTACAAGGTGTCACAAATGCCATACAGTGGGCTGTTTAATATGCATTCATTCACCTACCATATTTTCTCCTAACAAAAATCCTATAAGATATAAAAGCTTTAAAAGAAGCTCTAGGCTCTTCTTGATCCCATTCCTCTTTCCTACATTTTAAAGAAGGATGCTGATCTGAACTGGTCAAACTCTAGAACAATTTAACATGTCACAGATTAAGAGGCTGGAGATTTCACAGCAGTGAAAATATCAAGCATACCCACTGAGTACTCTCTTTTAACACATGTTGCTAATTACAGTGGGGATAATGAGAGCCACCTAAGTCATATTTAAACCGCCACATTTTGAACTGTTTTTCCCCTTTCCTCTCTTGGGTCTGCTCATACTTGAGTGATAAGAGCTGTGGTATGTGTTTTAGCTATGGTGCGATATGGAGGTATAACTTGTCCAGGTAAAAAAGAGTCCCCCAAAGGAAGTTGAAATGTGTGATTGGGACTAAATCTCCAACCAGTAATAGTATATTTGTATGCCTTACTTGTGCCAGAAATCTGCAAAGAAGGAAGAATTTCTAGGAAGCTGTATTTCTAGAGATTTCTACCAGTATATCTCCAGACAATTTCCTATCTCCAAGAAGACAGAATTCCTAGGATATTTTCCCTTCCTTCCTTTCCTGAATGAAGACAGCAGGCTTGAGTTATATACATATTTTTTAATTTTATTTTACTTTAAGTTCCAGGCTACATGTGCAGAACGTGCAGGTTTGTTACCTAGGTAAACATGGGCCATGGTGGTTTGCTGTACCTATCAACCTGTCACCTAGGTATTAAGCCCCGCATGCATTAGCTATTTGTCCTGCCTGCTTCTCACCCTCTCCTCCCTGCTTGAGTTATATTCTTTACCTTCTTTACATTTGACTCATCTCTTGTTTTGATAGATGATATATAGGCCTTAAGAGAGGCCCCCGCCATATTATTCATGATAGAATTATTTAAACAGTTGAGAAAACACACACTCACACTTACACAATCATGACACAGAAACTTTCTCATCCTTTATGTGGCTAAATTAGCCATTCAAATCAGTTTTCAAAGCATTCAGAAACACCTACACATAATTACACAAACTATTGTCAATACTAAGGAAAATGCCAAAGATCTTCTACTGAGATATTTTGTGCAAATAACAGAATGTCAACTCCGAAAATAATTTAGAGAAAAAATGAATTCAAGTAAAAAAAACATATAACAACTTAAATGAGCAGTGACCAATTGATTATTTTACTCAGCAGCTGGTGAAAAATTTTGGATTTGTGAGGAGTTCATTATTATTGGACAGACAACTTGTTCCCCATTACTTACATACCATATTTGAGAAGATAAATTGTGCATATTGTCATCCTAAAGGTACAAGGAATTTCTCTGCTCTTTACTCCATCCCTCAAATATTTCATTCCACTTATTTTTTTCCTTTCTTCCTCGATATTTTTTAACAAAGGGCAGTGGGATAACTTTTTTAGGCCAACTATTAGGTTGGTTGGTGCAAAAGTAATTGCATCAACCTAATAGATCTGAGTTCAATTCCATGTGAGACATGTATTAAATGTTTGACCCTGAGAAAATGTTTTAATTTCTCAAATTTCCTCATCTATACAATGGGGATGCTTACAAATGCTACTTTCAAATAAATATGCTGAGACAGTTAAATGAACAAACACAACCTTAAGATGCTCAACAAGTGCTGGGTTCCTCCTGGAATTAAGGCTTCAAACAAGGCATGAAAAAGTTACAGAGATTTTTTGGGAATGCTTGCGATCTTTTTTTCTTTTTTTTTCTTTTTTTTAAATTATACTTTAAGTTTTAGGGTACATGTGCACAATGTGCAGGTTTGTTACATATGTATACATGTGCCATGTTGGTGTGCTGCACCCATTAACTCGTCATTTACATTAGATATATCTCCTAATGCTATCCCTCCCCCCTCCCCTCACCCCACAACAGTCTCCGGTGTGTGATGCTCCCCTTCCTGTGTCCATGTGTTCTCATTGTTCAATTCCCACCTATGAGTGAGAACATGCAGTGTTTGGTTTTTTTGTCCTTGCCATGGTTTGCTGAGAATGATGGTTTCCAGTTTCATCCATGTTCCTACAAAGGACATGAACTCATCACTTTTTATGGCTGCATAGTATTCCATGGTGTACATGTGCCACATTTTCTTAATCCAGTCTATCACTGTTGGACATCTGGGTTGGTTCCAAGTCTTTGCGATTGTGACTAGTGCTGCAATAAACATACATGGGCATGTGTCTTTATAACAGCATGATTTATAATACTTTGGGTATATATCCAGTAATGGGATGGCTGGGTCAAATGGTCATTCTAGCTCTAGATCCCTGAGGAATTGCCACACTGACTTCCCCAATGGTTGAACTAGTTTACAGTCCCACCAACAGGGTAAAAGTGTTCCTGTTCCTCCACATCCTCTCCAGCACCTGTTGTTTCCTGACTTTTAATGATCACCATTCTAACTGGTGTGAGATGGTATCTCATTGTGGTTTTGATTTGCATTTCTCTGATGGCCAGTGATGATGAGCATTTTTTCATGTGTCTTTTGGTTGTATAAATGTCTTCTTTTGAGAAGTGTCTGTTCATATCCTTCATCCACTTGTTGATGAGGTTGTTTTTTTGTTGTAAATTTGTTTGAGTTCATTGTAGATTCTGGATATTAGCCCTTTGTCAGATGAGTAGTAGATTGCAAAAATTTTCTCCCATTCTGTAGGTTGCCTGTTCACTCTGATGGTAGTTTCTTTTGCTGTGTAGAAGCTCTTTAGTTTAATTAGATCCCATTTGTCAATTTTGGCTTTTGTTGCCATTGCTTTTGGTGTTTTAGACATGAAGTCCTTGCCCATGCCTATGTCCTGAATGATATTGCCTAGGTTTTCTTCTAGGGTTTTTATGGTTTTAGGTCTAACATTTAAGTCTTCAATCCATCTTGAATTAATTTTTGTATAAGGTGTAAAGAAGGGATCCAGTTTCAGCTTTCTACATATGGCTAGCCAGTTTTCCCAGCACCATTTATTAAATAGGGACTCCTTTCCCCATTTCTTCTTTTTGTCAGGTTGGTCAAAGATCAGATAGTTGTAGATATGCGGCATTATTTCTGAGGGCTCTGTTCTGTTCCATTGATCTATATCTCTGTTTTGGTACCAGTACCATGCTGTTTTGGTTACTGTAGCCTTGTAGTATAGTTTGAAGTCAGGTAGTGTGATGCCTCCAGCTTTGTTCTTTTGGCTTAGGATTGACTTGGCGATGCGGGCTCTTTTTTGGTTCCATATGAACTTTAAAGTAGTTTTTTCCAATTCTGTGAAGAAAGTCATTGGTAGCTTGATGGGGATGGCACTGAATCTGTAAATTACCTTGGGCAGTATGGTCATTTTCACGATACTGATTCTTCCTACCCATGAGCATGGAATGTTCTTCCATTTGTTTGTGTCCTCTTTTATTTCCTTGAGCAGTGGTTTGTAGTTCTCCTTGAAGAGGTCCTTCACATCCCTTGTAAGTTGGATTCCTAGGTATTTTATTCTCTTTGAAGCAATTGTGAATGGGAGTTCACTCATGATTTGGCTCTCTGTTTGTTATTGGTGTATAAGAATGCTTGTGATTTTTGCACATTGATTTTGTATCCTGAGGCTTTGCTGAAGTTGCTTATCAGTTTAAGGAGATTTTGGGCTGAGACGATGGCATTTTCTAGATATACAATCATGTCATCTGCAGATAGGGACAATTCGACTTCCTCTTTTGCTAATTGAATACCCTTTATTTCTTTCTCCTGCATGACTGCCCTGGCCAGAACTTCCAACACTATGTTGAATAGGAGTGGTGAGAGAGGGCATCCTGGTCTTGTGCCAGTTTTCAAAGGGAATGCTTCCAGTTTTTGCCCATTCAGTATGATATTGGCTGTGGGTATGTCATCGATAGCTCTTATTATTTTGAGATAAGTCCCATCAATACCTAATTTATTGAGAATTTTTAGCACGAAGGTTGTAGAATTTTGTCAAAGGCCTTTTCTGCATCTATTGAGATAATCATGTGGTTTTTGTCTTTGGTTCTGTTTATATGCTGGATTACGTTTATTGATATTCATATGTTGAACCAGCCTTGCATCCCAGGGATGAAGCCCACTTGATCATGGCGGATAAGCTTTTTGAAGTGCTGCTGGATTCGGTTTGCCAGTATTTTATTGAGGATTTTTGCATCGATGTTCATCACGGATATTGGTCTAAAATTCTCTTTTTTTGTTGTGGCTCTGCAGGCTTTCGTATCAGGATGATGTTGGCCTCATAAAATGAGTTAAGGCTGATTCCCTCTTTTTCTATTAATTGGAATAGTTTCAGAAGTAATGGTACCAGCTCCTCCTTGTACCTCTGGTAGAATTCGGCTGTGAATCCATCTGGTCCTGGACTTTTTTTGGTTGGTAAGCTATTAATTATTGCCTCAATTTCAGAGCCTGTTATTCATCTATTCAGAGATTCAACTTCTCCCTGGGTTAGTCTTGGGAGAGTGTATGTGTCGAGGAATTTATCCATTTCTTCTAGATTTTCTAGTTTATTTTCATAGAGGTGTTTATAGTATTCTCTGATGGTAGTTTGTATTTCTGTAGGATCGGTGGTGATATCGCCTTTATCATTTTTTATTGTGTCTATTTGATTCTTCTCTCTTTTCTTATTAGTCTTGCTAGCTGTCTATCAATTTTGTTGATCTTTTCAAAAATCCAGCTCCTGGATTCATTGATTTTTTGAAGGGTTTTTTGTGTCTCTATTTCCTTCAGTTCTGCTCTTAGTTATTTCTTGCCTTCTGCTAGCTTTTGAATGTGTTTGCTCTTGCTTCTCTAGTTCTTTTAATTGTGATGTTAGGGTGTCAATTTTAGACCTTTCCTGCTTTCTCTTGTGGGCATTTAGTGCTATAAATTTCCCTCTACACACTGCTTTGAATGTGTCCCAGAGATTCTGGTATGTTGTGTCTTTGTTCTCATTGGTTTCAAAGAACATCTTTATTTCTGCCTTCATGTCGTTATGTACCCAATAGTCATTCAGGAGCAGGTTGTTCAGTTTCCATGTAGTTGAGTGGTTTTGAGTGAGTTTCTTAATCCTGAGTTCTAGTTTGATTGCACTGTGGTCTGAGAGACAGTTTGTTATAATTTCTGTTCTTTTACATTTGCTGAGGAGCGCTTTACTTCCAACTATGTGGTCAATTTTGGAATAGGTGTGGTGTGGTGCTGAAAAGAATGTATATTCTGTTGATTTGGGGTGGAGAGTTCTGTAGATGTCTATTAGGTCCGCTTGGTGCAGAGCTGAGTTCAATTCCTGGATATGCTTGTTAACTTTCTGTCTCGTTGATCTGTCTAATGTTGACAGTGGGGTGTTAAAGTCTCCCATTATTATTGTGTGGGAGTCTAAGTCTCTTCGTAGGTCTCTAAGGACTTGCTTTACGAATCCGGGTGCTCCTGTATTGGGTGCATATACATTTAGGATAGTTAGCTCTTCTTGTTGAATTGATCCCTTTACCATTATGTAATGGCCTTCTTTGTCTCTTTTGATCTTCGTTGGTTTAAAGTCTGTTTTATCAGAGACTAGGACTGCAACCCCTGCCTTTTTTTGTTTTCCATTTGCTTGGTAGATCTTCCTCCATCCCTTTATTTTGAGCCTATGTGTGTCTCTGCACATGAGATGGGTTTCCTGAATACAGCACACTGATGGGTCTTGACTCTTTATCCAATTTGCCAGTCTGTGCCTTTTAATTGGAGCATTTAGCCCATTTACATTTAAGGTTAATATTCTTATGTGTGAATTTGAACCTGTCATTAGGATGTTAGCTGGTTATTTTGCTCGTTAGTTGATACAGTTTTTTCCTAGCCTTGATGGTCTTTACAATTTGGCATGTTTTTGCAGTGGCTGGTACAGGTTGTTCCTTTCCATGTTTAGTGCTTCCTTTAGGAGCTCTTCTAGGGCAGGCCTGGTGGTGACAAAATCTCTCAGCATTTGCTTGTCTGTAAAGGATTTTATTTCTCCTTCACTTATGAAGCTTAGTTTGGCTGGATATGAAATTCTGGGTTGAAAATTCTTTAAGAATGTTGAATATTGGCCCCCACTCTCTTCTGGCTTGTAGAGTTTCTGCCGAGAGATCAGCTGTTATTCTGATGGGCTTCCCCTTGTGGGTAACCCGACCTTTCTCTCTGGCTGCCCTTAACATTTTTTCCTTCATTTCAACTTTGGTGAATCTGACAATTATGTGTCTTGGAGTTGCTCTTCTCGAGGAGTATCTTTGTGGCGTTCTCTGTATTTCCTGAATTTGAATGTTGGCCTGCCTTGCTAGATTGGGGAAGTTCTCCTGGATAATATCCTGCAGAGTGATTTCCAACTTGGTTCCATTCTCCCCGTCACTTTCAGGTACACCAATCAGATGTAGATTTGGTCTTTTCACATAGTCCCATATTTCTTGGCGGCTTCGTTCATTTCTTTTTATTCTTTTTTCTCTAAACTCTTCTCGTTTCATTTTATTCATTTGATCTTCCATCACTGATACCCTTTCTTCCAGTTGATCGAATTGGCTACTGAGGCTTGGCATTTGTCACGTAGTTCTCATGCCATGGTTTTCAGCTCCATCAGGTCCTTTAAGGACTTCCCTGCATTGGTTATTCTAGTTAGCCATTCATCTAATTTTTTTTCAAGGTTTTTAACTTCTTTGCCATGGGTTCAAACTTCCTCCTTTAGCTTGGAGTAGTTTAATCGTCTGAAGCCTTCTTCTCTCCATTCGTCAAAGTCATTCTCCGTCCAGCTTTGTTACATTGCTGGTGAGGAGCTGCATTCCTTTGGAGGAGGAGAGGCGCTCTGATTTTTAGAGTTTTCAGTTTTTCTGCTCTGTTTTTTTCCTATCTTTGTGGTTTTAACTACCTTTGGTCTTTGATGATGGTGACGTACCGATGGGGTTTTGGTGTGGATGTCCTTTCTGTTTGTTAGTTTTCCTGCTAACAGACAGGACCCTCAGCTGCAGGTCTGTTGGAGTTTGCTGGAGGTCCACTCCAGACCGTTTGCTTGGGTGTCAGCAGCAGAGGCTGCAGAACAGCAGATAGTGGTGAACAGCAAATGTTGCTGCCTAATCGTTCCTCTGGAAGTATTGTCTCAGAGGAGTACCCAGCTGTGTGAGGTGTCAGATTGCCCCTACTGGGGGATGCCTCCCAGTTAGGCTACTCGGGGGTCAGGGACCCACTTGAGGAGGGAGTCTGTCCATTCTCAGATCTCAAGCTGCATGCTGGGAGAACCAGTACTCTCTTCAAAGCTGTCAGACAGGGACATTTAAGTCTGCAGAGGTTTCTGCTGCCTTCTGTTTAGCTATGCCCTGCCCCAAGAGGTGGAGTCCACAGAGGCAGGCAGGCCTCCTTGAGCTGCAGTGGGCTCCACCCAGTTCGAGCTTCCAGCTGCTTTGTTTACCTACTCAAGCCTCGGCAATGGCGGGCGCCCCTCCTCCAGCCTCACTGCCTCCTTGCAGTTTGATCTCAGACTGCTGTGCTAGCAATGAGCAAGGCTCTATGGGCGTAGGACCTTCTGAGCCAGGCGCGAGATATAATCTCCTGGTGTGCCGTTTGCTAAGACCATTGGAAAAGCGCAGTATTAGGGTGGGAGTGACCCAATTTTCCAGGTGCCGTCTGTCACCCCTTTCTTTGACTAGGAAAGGGAATTCCCTGATCCCTTGTGCTTCCCAGGTGAGGCAATGCCTCGCCCTGCTTTGGCTCATGCTCGGTGCACTGTGCCCACTGCCCTGCACCCCCTGTCCGACACTCCCCAGTGAGATGAACCCAGTACCTCAGTTGAAAATGCAGAAATCACCCGTCTTCTGCGTCGCTCATGCTGGGAGCTGTAGACTGGAGCTGTTCCTATTTGGCCATCTTGGCTCCACCCCCTGTGATCTTTAAATAACTGAGTCTAGTAACAGGCTATATTCAAATAATTAACTTTGTTATTTTCAAATATAATTTTTGCCACCAAAGTATGAAGATTGACTTAGGCTGCTCTTCAATCATGTTAGCCCCTTTTGGCATTGGGTTCTTTTTGCCATTGGATTTTTTTTTTTTTTTTTTTGCCTGTACCCTAGAACAGAGACCATTGTTCTTGACTGGCAAGTCCATGCTACCCTTGTCAATATTCATCATCCTAATACATATTCCCTTGAGTATATGTTCTCTGTTAATTCAGAAACATGGGAAGTTTAAAGGAATTAACTAAACAGTAATATTCATAAAGACAGAGATTGTGTTTTCTTATTTTATTGTTGGGAAATAATGGGTATTTCAATAAATTTGGGGTGCAAAACCTAATGTCTGCTTTGTTCTCAACACTCTACTAGAAGGTGACCATGTGTTTTCTTGGTTAATCCTCCAAGATGCACTGATATTGAAATACGAAGACAAACTTACACAGAGTAAACTGAGGTTCATAGATATTTATTTTCTGTGTGTGTATTTTTTCTTTTATTTGTATTAACAAACACATAGGGACAGAGATATTTATTGATTTGCCAACATGTCATATACAATAAAAGATTGAGTTGGTGTTTATTTCATATGTATATATGGTCCCAAAATTCCTGTGCTATCTACTTTAGCATCATCTCTTCCTACATGAAATTGAGTTTATCACAAGATTTTAAAATGTATTAATAATGCATTAGTAAAATTTTTTATGAGCTTCTGTCAGAGAATAATGATAATGGGTTGGGCATCTCCACTTAAAAGATGAAGTAATTATAATAATAAAGAACATCTATAATAATAATAATAATCATCATCATCAATATTCTCAGCTTCTGTATAGTTCCTACAGCTTATACAAACTTTAGACATTTTTTCAGAAATATTAAAACCAGGACCTGTTCTTAAAAATTTGCCCTGTGTCACATGACTATTCTCTGTGATTCTGAAAGCCCTCCATAAGCAGTTCTTTATCCCCTAAAAAGTGCTGGCATTGTTGAAAAGGAAGGTACCTAGGCTGGACATCATTTGAGTTTTCTGTGAAACCGAAGAAGTAACTTTCTCTGAATTGTCCCCCTCAGTTTCACTCCCCTCTGACAGCCCAGTGACATGAGCTTCAGGGCAGCCCATGTGTTTCACTAAAGACTGATAATAAGTAAGCTTGAAAATGGCAGCAGATATTAGTACCACTTACTTCCTCAACATTGGATTGGATAAAGTACTTCCCCAGCAAATTCATTTTATAATTTTATTTCTTTTCATACTTATAGATTTCAATGGAACCATAAAATATTAATTCTGGAAAATGCTTATGAAATGGATCTAGCCTTGCCTAACCATTTTGCAGATGAAGAATCTGAGATACAAGAATTGACTTGCCCAACAAAAAGGCAAGATTAAGTCAAGATTATTGGAAAAGTCAAGATTCAGAATAAAGTTTCCTTCCTTCCTCCCTCCTTGTGTTTCTTCTGCAATAATTAGTTGAGTGCCTGTCAAATCAATGTAGGATTAAAGGCAAGAAACTAATTCTTTTCCTACATATCTGCATGTTTGGGAGGTGTCAGAGAGTAGGGACATGTGTGTCCCATTGTCCTTGTCACTAAAGATACAAAAGTTGGCCCTCCAAGAATTCACTGTCTATTGGGAAAACAAAATTGTAAATACATAATCTTACTCTCTCACTCACACACATACACACACACACCAGTGATAGTATCGTGATATTTTCAAGATAGAGTATTGCATTTGAGCCAAATCAGCTTGTTGGTGCTGTTTCTTAGTCTACAGCTTGTTTCTCTCTCCAGTTTGCTTCTTATCACCCTGTCAATTGCATACCTCCTAAGAGACCCAAGCAGATGACACTGTAACCTACAGCAGACCTTAGGGACCAGCTGCCTTAGCTGGGACTCTGACACTTTTCCTTCCATTAACCCTGACTGAATACTCAAGACGGAACGTTTTGGTTTACAATTCCCCGAACACCTCTTGAGTTCAGCTTGCCTCAAAGTACAACCATACATCAGAATTACATTTCTTCCAGTTTCAGTGCCCTATGTTCTGGTGAGTTCTAGGGGATTTCTGTTTCAATAACCAGACCTTATTCTTCAAAGCCACCATTTAAAATATTCAGAAAGTTCTGTTTGTTTTTTAACTCAGTGAAAGAGATTAGACAGAAATGGTTTTCCACTTTAGCAGAAGCTAGTCTGGAAACTGAATTGTAAATAGTACAATTGGTGAGTACAGAACTTTTGTAAGCTAGTCTGGAAACTGAATTTTAAATAGTACAATTGGTGAGTACAGAACTTTTGTTTAAGGGAAAGCTAATTCACCCGTATCATTCAACATTTATAGCTGATATGGGCCACTGACATACATTTTATATTTTGCAAATGGTTCAGGGGAGGAGATTATGTAGAAGTTTGATCAACATGTTCTTTCCTCCTCAAAATAAAAAACTCATAATACTGAAAAGTAACAAGAGAAAGATTTTAGAATGAGCAGGTATACACAAGGTTAAACTAGCCATTGGCCAATATTTTTAAAGAAGTAATGGACATGGTGGGACAATAATGATCAATCACAAAACTCATTAAATATACACAAAATATAATATATATCACATAACACATACTATCTGATGCAATCCTCACATTCTGACTACTGTGCACACTTGGACCATTTATTTCCATGAAGAATTAGATTCCATGAAGTTTTCATCATTCACATTTTAAGTTACATATAAGCTCTAGTTTCTGAAATGCTCAACATATGAAAAGGTTTATGCCACATCTAATGATATCCACTTACATCCAAAAACAAAGTTTTCTGGCTTAAATTATAAAAATGCTTTTATTTCTTGGCAGAAGAGAAACAAACAGAAAAACATATATGGTATTTCTAATTATAATGTGCTTTTTCCATGTACTAACCATTTCATAACATTCTTCAATGAGACTAATTATTGTTGAAATGGTTGGACATTTTAGAAGACTTGTGTTAGGTAATATGCAAAAAAGAAACCCTCAGTATTTCTTCTGAATCATTTAATCATTTATTCTGTGCATATATACCTAGCAACCGTTTTATTCCATTCCTATGGAACTGCTAAGAATGCCAAGGTAAGACATCCTCTCTTTGGAGCCAATGATTGTAAAGGAGAGACAGGCATACAAACAAATAATTAGATGTTGTTACCTGAATAAAAATATTGGGACAGACAAACTAACATAAGATTACAAAATAAAAAAACAAATGGTTCTGCTTTGTGGGGAGTCTGAGAAGGCTGATGGAAGAGGTGACATTTGGACACTAAATAGGAGCATTTCAGGGGCATGATGTAGGGGAGGACATGGAGAGGCAGGTGCAATGTGGGGAGACAGGGGGATCACAGTAGATTTAATGATCCACAAGGTGCCTAATTATGAGTGAAAGGGGAAGTAGAAGGGAAGGAGTCAAGGGATAAAGCTAATGCCATTTCTACTTTTACATACCAGTCAGTACCTATTGCATATCTGCAGGTCTTCAGGGAAAACAACCAGTCTTAAAAATTAAAATTAAACTGTTACTACTTATGGTACCCATGATTGCCACTGCCAAACTGGAAAAGATTTCCAGATTTTCCTTCTCCTTGTCTTCATTATAATTTTTCTTCTCCTGTCGTTCCCCTCTCCCAACAGAAGCCCCCACATCCCTTCCACAGTGCTTGGTATGCAGATGGACGGCTGAATGTGATGAAAAATTATTCAAACAGCATACCACAAGCTAACTATTTCAAGCGTATCTATTGACTGAAGAGATTTGCATTATGAACTAAGTCATTGCAACAAGACAATGGTAAATAGCAGCCAAAACAAAGAAATAGATCATTTAAATAAAGGAAAAGAGCTAACACCAACGTGTATCCATTTCTCCTCAGTTGAAATTTACCCTAGCGGAACTAATATGAAAATATTACTTTCATTGTTTAAAAGAAATTCATTGGAATGAAATGCTAATGTTGTATCTCCAATAGTGAATTGGATGAATGAGAAATGCATTCAACTGCAATATATCCAGTTTTTGCTGTATACATATTGTAAAGTTCTACAGATATAAAAATTAACGCTGGGCGCGGTGGCTCACGCCTGTAATCTCAGCACTTTGGGAGGTCAAGACAGGTGGATCATGAGGTCAAGAATTCGAGACCAGTCTGGCCAACATGGTGAAACCCCATCTCTACTAAGAATACAAAAATTAGCTAGGCATGGTGGCACGTGCCTGTAATCCCAGCTACTCAGCAGGTTGAGGCAGGAGAATCGCTTGAACCTGGGAGGCGGAGGTTGCAGCGAGCTGAAATGGCACCACTGCACTCCAGCCTGGGCGACAGAGCAAGACTCCATCTGGAAAAAAAAAAAATTAACAAGGCATAGTCATTGCACTCAAGGATGTAACAGTTCATTAAGGGAGAAGGACACAAATAAGTAGCTGCAATGCAAAGTGGTAACATGTACAAAGGATGGCTACACAAAATATCATGGGAGAATGGAAGAGAAAGAAATGGTCCTACCATGTTCAGTTGATATTTGGGGGACAGTTAACAATAAAAACTTAAAAGGTGATATTCAAGCCAGAAGATTAGTAAATAGAAATGTTAATGGGGACACTGCAGATGACCTGGGAGACAGAGTGGCCTCTCAGAAAGAGAAAATAATGTAGAAAGTCTCAGGAACAGGAAATAATATGATCATAGCAATTATTCTATACAGAGAAGGAAAAGAGGTATCAGTGGGGTCTAATGGAAAGAAGTTGGGTTATAGTAGACCAGTAATCAGAGTTTAAGCTGAAAAAATTGAATGGAACCAGTTTATAAAGAGCCTGCTTGCCACCCTGTGAAAACTGCATTGTATTAGGTAGCTAAGGAGAATGCTTTAAATTATCAGACGTGCTTTTGAAGAAGAGAAAAGTCAGGGCAGACTGAGATGAAGGGATTTTAGTTAGGAAACACCTAGGAAGATCCTATTTAGTAATTCAGGGTGGGAGATGATGTAACCCAAATCAGGATTTATACTGACTGGGGTAATTTTTTTATCATTTAATCAGAAGATAACAACTATAGAGCATTTAATAATGATATGGTGCTAAGCCTTTCTCCTAGCTTAAAGCACTTTTTAAACATAGAAACAGTAAGAAACTCTATAAGAACAGAGATCTTGCTTTCAGGAATTGCAGGAATTCCACTATACCCTTAAGACCTTGAATATTGCCTGGCAAATCACAGGTGTTTAATAGTATCTGGTAAATAAGTCAAGGGAGTGATGGACAGATGGATGGATGGATGGATGGATGGATGGATGGATGGATGGATGAAATTTTATTTGGCTTCTGACTTACATCAGGTTTGCTAGGAACTAGACTTTAAGGTGGAGATTCAAGTGCAGGAGGTGTATTAGAAAGCAGTTAGAGGAACAAGGACTGGACAGAGGGAGAAGATAACCCATAGAGAAGCCCCAGCCAACTCTAGGGGGATCTCTGCATGGCTCTCTAGAGCTATACTGTTTCTTTCATACCCTAATCAACTAGTCACTGGATAAGGGCCACCCACTTGGTTAAAGGAAATTCCTAGAGAGAGGCTCAGCTCTGAGCTGTTAGCAGCCAACCCTCCCAGAAGCTGGAGAAATACATGCCTCATGTTTAACGGGAAAGTGCATTTCATGGTTCCTGGCACATTGCAAGCATTCACTAAATGATTCAATCTTGGTGTTATTAAGCTCTTGAATTACAAGAGGGATTCCCTATTTTCTCCAAATTAGTCTCCAATAAGTTATTTCTGGAAAGTAAACTTTCCAAGTTTCAGTTATCTGAAGTTCAAAGTTTTGAGGGGCCAGGAACTCAGACTTTCCTCTATACAGTCAAATGCAGAATATCTTCTAAAGAGTGAACATAAAATAAGTAGAAATTAATGGTAACAGAGAAAGGGTTAATTCCCTGGATAAACACGGCCGTCCTCTTCACGCATGGCTGGGGAGCAAGAAGATGTATGTCCACACTCCCAGTCTGACTTTGGAGATAAAAAACACTGACCAGACCTGTGAGTTCAGAAAAGTTGCTTCATCTCTCAGAACCTAAGTTTCTTCACTGACGGTAAGACCTTCCTCGGAAGATTGACTTGAAGTGTTTATGACAGAGCATCCCGAAGTTAAGAGCCAAGCAAACTGTAATGGGGCACTGAATATTTAAGGGTTTCAAATTCCAAATGGCAGCTTCCTTTATTTGTTCTTTGTCTCTATTTAGTTTCCAAGAGACCTGGTCCCA
The DNA here is from genome assembly GCF_000001405.40 of Homo sapiens. NCBI lineage: Eukaryota > Metazoa > Chordata > Mammalia > Primates > Hominidae > Homo > Homo sapiens. The sequence goes on along the minus strand of NC_000016.10, from coordinate 59,090,062 downwards.
GTTCTAGTACTCAACTACTCTTCCCACTGAGTTATATGGGATTATACCCCTAGTAGTTCACAACCAAACAAATAAAATATCATGAAATCTCTTTACCTTGTAATAAAGAGGAAGAGTTTTTCAATTCAACAAAAAAAGATATAAATATTGTATACATTTATTACCTAGAGTGAAATCATGTGCCATTTTATTGGTGTTGCCATGTTAACTTTCTTGGATCCTAACTTTGTGTACTGTCACAAAGTCATACTAATATTAGTGCAGCGCCTAAGGGCAGAAGTTACAGCATCAGACAACCAACATTCAAAACCTAGCTCTGCCACATTGCTAGCTATGCAATGAATTAGTTAAGACCCTTAAGCCTCAGTTACTTTTTTTGCAAAATATGTATGAATCATAGAATCTAATTCATAAGATTATGTGATGAAGAAATAAGATAATGCATGTAAAGTCCTTAGTGCAGTGCCTAGTGTTGAATAACTCTTCTTAATAATAGCAGCCATCATTTTTTGACCACTGTATGAGTCTGTTAAGGCTGCCATACAGAATACCATGAACTGGGCGGCTTAAACAACAGAAATTCACTGTCTCACAGTTCTGAAGGCTACGAGTCCAAGATCCAGGTGTCAGTAGGTTTGGATTCTCCTGAAGCCTCTCTCCTTGGCTTGCAGATGGCTGCCTTCTCACTGCGTCCTCACATGGACTTTCCTCCTTTTGTGCACATCCATACTAGAAGCAGGACCCACCCTACCTGCCTCGTTTTAACTTAATTGCCTCTGTAAAGGTGACATTTCTTTTTTTTCCCCATAACCAAAACTTTATTGAAAGCCTGACATCAAAATGGGAGATCACTGTTGTATACCTTACAAAACCAAATGTAATTACATTATCTTGGTAGATTAATTCAAATTATGGAACTTACGATAAGGCTTTCTGAAAGATAACACGAATTCAGGAAGCTGTGTGGATCATTAGTGTTGCTTTCCTCTAAATGAATACCCTTCTGTGAGGCTGGCCTTTCCTCCTGTAGGCTGGCACAACACTGTTAAACAACCTACACAAAGAACCACTCTCTGAGCATGGCTGAAAACCGTGGTAATCTTGTAGCAACCTGGACATTTTACATGCATATAGTAAGAATGTGGACTTTGCACTAGCCGTTTCTTTTTATGTTTTTTCTTTTCCTCTTCCAAGGACGGAGGTAGTAAATCTCTAGCCAAAGTCATCCTCTAGCAAGTCTAGCCCTTCTAGACCTCTCAGCCAACACCGCTAGCGAGCTGCACGCGATCTGCGCTCGGCATCCGATATTTCCAACTATGGTTACATTCTGAGATACTATGGGTTGGGACTTCAACATACGGATTTTGTAGGGGACACAGTTCAACCCATAACAACTACTCACCATTTGTTTTCTATTATGTGTCAAGTGTAATGCCAGAACCACTTTCTTCTGGATGTGCCCCAAGTGTGTTCTTGGCATTACCTCATAAACTGTTTTACCCTTTAACTCAACTCCTGCTCAACAAGCAGCTTGCCTTGTGTTATTTTTCAACATAGAAATAGAAGTTTTTTCTAATAATCTTATGTACAAAATGTATATCATTGTAAAATGCTCAGACAATATAAACATCTGTAAAGATAAAAAGAAGCCTATGTATAGCCCCACTACAAAGAAACAACCGCAGTTTTGATATTTGTAGATGGCCAGGTATTTTTTCTTCTTCTTTTCTCACATAAACAAACTTATTGTTTCTCAAAGGTGGAATTATACTCTGCTTCTGCCCATATTTTACATTTAAAATACTTTAGACACCATTTATGTCAAAAAGCATAAATCTACCTCACAAATTTAGTACTAAATAATATTTTGTAGTAACTCTGTTTTCCAACGTTAACTTGTTGACAACTTTTTTGCTATTACAAAAAAAGCAGTTCAATGAACATCCCTGTTGAAGCATCTTTGCCCTGATCATTTCTTTCATGTACTTTTCAAAATAAAAGCATTAAAAAAAAACTTGGATTGGTTGATACGTATTTCAAGATTGCCCTCCAGAAAGATGTTCCAATGATGCTCCTTTTAAGTGCTAACTGGTTAATGTAATTGCCAGGAAACATGCTGATTTTGCATCAAACCTCTTCTACCCCCTGCCTCACCCAAGCCATAACTATCCCTTGAGAAGCCATATCATACTAATTGAACCAATATAACATGGCCCTTTCCCCTCAGAGTGACAAGGCTAAAACAGATTACACAATTTGCAAGTAGCACATGGAAACATATATCCAAGTGCTAAATTGCATGTAGTACAGATGCTAAGCACCCTGGGAGGCTCGGCTTATTTCCTTCTTTTTTTAGTCCCCACACAGGGTTGAAATGAAACACATCCACGTGCAGTAATGTGTCTAATGTGTTTTTCTAAAAGAATACTTAATCTTCTGGTTCAACTTTAGAGAAACTAAAGCAAAAACAGCCTCACAACCCACTTCTCTACCTTCACCTGCTACCATTCTTACTCACTAAACTCCAGCCATGCTAATTTTCTTTATGTTTCTCCAGCACCAAGCTCATGCCTGATCAAGAGCCCTTCTACTTGTTGCTCCCTCTGCTTCAAATGCTCTTCCCCAATGTCATCCCCAATGGCTTCCTCTCCCTATTCAGGTCTCAGTGTCATTCATCTCACTCATGACATCCTCAGAAAGGCCTTCACTGACAACCCAATTAATAGCACCTTCACCCTACCCCTTTAACCTACTACTGCATTGCTCTTTCTTTTCTTCTTAGTATATACCATGGGTAAGAATTGTCTCATTTATTTTGTGCTTATTTCATATTGGCCTATACACACTAGAACATAAGCTCTATGGGGACAGTAACTTGGCTGATTCATCCATCACTATATAGAATACAATACTCCTATCTGGCATGAACCATATTTCATAGACTTAAAATAAATTTTTTCACATTTAAACATCAAGGTATATGTCTTATGCTTAGTATCATTTAGATAGCAATCAATGCATAATTGACATTGCCTACACATGCACAAACTTGGTCATCATTACCGACATTGTCATCTCTTCAATGGAGTCTGTATAGTGTTGAAACTACATGTGTAGAGTTTAATTGCCATATAAAATACCCTTGAAATTGATTACATAAAATATCTTTGATTTTGATGATTGAGCTTTGAATTTAAATGTTGGACACCTAGAAAGTAATAGACACATAACACCAGAAACAGAACGTAAGTTTAACATTAGTCAGGCTAATACTTGTAGGAAGAGGAACGATCATATCTCCAATATTGCCTTGTAAAACAAAAAGAAGTGCAGGATGGAGCATATGAAATGAAGACATATCCAAGTAGATTATGCTGTGTTACATTTTGTTACATTTTGCACGTATCCTTCCATGTATCTTGCTAAGATACATGGAAAAGCTTTGTCCATTATGTGCCAAGCAAAAGATTTTTAAAATCCTAAACATTTAAGTACCTGATAATAGAGGTTAACAATATATGAAGCAAAAAAAAGAGACAGGACTGCAAGTAGAAGTAGACAACCACAATTATAGCCAGCTATAATTGATAGAAAAAGTAGACAGAATATCATTAAGGATGGAAGACTTGAAAATTATAAACAAATGTCTTGACCTAATTGACATTTTTAGGACGCTCCTCCCAACAACAGCAAAATACACGTTTTTTTCAAGTGCATATGAAACATTTACAAAGACAGATTATACTCTGGGTCATAACATAAGTCTCAATAAATGTGAAAGAATTCAGGTCAGATAAAGTATGTTCTCTGAACACAATGAAATTAAAATAAAATCAACAACAGAAATATCTCTGGAAAAATCTAAAAATATGTAGAAATAAAATAACATCCTCATAAATAACCCATGTCAAAGAAGAAACTAATAAAAATTATAAATTGTTTTAATTCAATGAAAATAAAATCACAACATATCAAACTTTGAGGAATGCTTCTAAAGCAGTAATTGGGACAAAATTTATAGCACTGAAGACCTATTTCAAAAATAAAGAGCAGGAGGAGCAGAAGAAGGAAGCCTCAAATGAATTATCTTAGCATCTATTTTGAAAAATTAGAACAGCAAATTAAACTGAAACGTAGAAGAAGAAATAATGAAGATGAAAGTGGAAGTAAATGAAATAGAAACAGAAAAATAAGAGAAAAACAATGAGACCAAAATCTGGTTCTTTATATTTTCCAAAAATATTGATAAACTTCTAGCCAGACATTTTACACACACACACACACACACACACACACACACACATACACACACGCACACGTGCAAGAAAGAGAGCGAGACAGAGAACAAATTATTAATATTATCAGTCTCAGGAATGAGAGAAGTGAAATCACTACAGATTCTATAGATAAGGAAATATCATAAACAACTTTATGCTAATAAATGCAATAACTTAGATGAAATGGACAAATTCTTTGAAAGACACAAACTACCAAAGCTCACTCAAGAAGAAATCGACAACCTATATAGACCCATATCAATTAGATAGTTTTTAGAGTTAAAAGCTTTTCCAAAAACAAAATTCCAAGCCCAGATAACTTCACTGTTGAAGTCTGCCAAACACTTAACAAATAAATAGTATTCTACACAAACTCTTGGAGAAATGTGAAACCTGAAGAAATAGTTTACAACCCATTCACGACACAAGAATTATTCTGGTACAAAAAATCAAAGATGTTGTAAGAAAAGAAAACTACAGATGAATAACTCTTATGATCACGGATATAAAAATTCTAAGAAAATTTTTAGCAAAATGATTTCAACGTTTTACAATAATGATAATACATCATGATCAACTTGAGTGTATCTCAGGAATGCACAGTTGGTTCAGCACTCAAACATTAATGTAATTCACCTTCATGTTCTAACATTGAAAACAAACTATATTATCATCTCAGTAGATACAGAAAGTACATTTGACAAAATCCAACATTATTCCTGATAAAAACTTAGCCAAATACAGGTAGAAGAAAACTTCCTCAACTCAATAAAAGGCAGCTACATAAAACAAACAGCTAACATCAAAAGTATTGATAAAAGACAGAATGTTTTCCCTGAGAATAGAAACAAAGCAAGGATGTCAATTCTGACCAGTTACATTCAACATTATACTGGAGATTCTGGCAAGGGCAATAAGGTAAGAAAAATAACTAAAGGGCATTCAGTTTGGAAAAAAAAGGAGTAAAGATGTCGGTTTCACAGATGACATGATTGTCTATGTAAAAAACACAAAACACAATGGAATGTACAATAAAGCAACTAGAACTAATACATGAATTTAGAAAAGCTGCAGGATACAAAATTAACACACAAAAATAAATTATATTTCAACTTTCCAGAAAAAGAAAAATTAGAAGTTGAAATTTTTTAATATGTCATTTACAATAGCACCAAAAGTATGAAATTACTAGGAATAAATAGGATAAAATATATGCAAGACATGAACACATAAAACTAAAAGATAATGTTAACAGAAACTGAGAAAATCCTAAATAAATGAAAAGATGTACCATGCTTATGAATCAGAAGACGTAATATTGTAAAACTGTCCATTTTTCCCAAACTGATCTATAAATTCAATCAAATCATGATCAAAATCCAAGCAGGCTTTTTTTTGTAGAAATAATCAAACTGATTCTAACAACTCATATGGAAAGGCAGAGTACCTAGAATACCCAAATGAACTTGAAAAAGAAGACCAAAATTGAAGGATGAATACTACCTGATTTAAAGACTCACTAAAAGCTTCGGTAATCAAGAATGTAAGACATTGCCATAAAGATAAACAAGAAGATCACTGTAATAGAATACAGAGAGTCTAGAAAGAGGCCCAAACATATATGGACACTTGATTTTCAATAAAGACACAAAGACAATTCAGTGGAGCAAGGAAAATGTTTTAAACAAATGCTGCTGCAACGATGCAGAACAGAACTTTGATCCACAGCTCACACCACATATGTTAACTCAAAATGGGTCACAGACCTAAATGTAAAAACTAAAAAAACTTTCAGAAGAAAACCACAGCAGAAAGCCTTTTTGACTTCGGTTAGGCAAATACTTCTCAGATATGTCACCAAAATCATGATTTACAAAAGAACAAATTGATAAATTGGACCTCATCAAAATTTAAAATTTCTCCTTGACAGACATCCTTAAGACAATGAAAAGACAAGCAACAGACATGTAGAAAACGTTTGCAAAGCATATATTTGAAAAAGGACTTGTTTTCAGAATATGTAAAGAACCCTCAAAATTCAGCAATAAGAAACGAAAAAACTCAGTTTTTAAAAAGGTGGAGGACAGAAGATTTAAACAGATACTTAAACAAAAAAAAAATGAGTGACAAGAAAGCATATGAAACAATATTCAGTATTAGTCATTAGGAAAATGCAAATTAAACCACAACCATATACCACTATGCACCCATTAAAGCAGCTAAAAAAAAAAAAAAGTAAGTAAGCATATGAAGTATTGGCAAGAATATGGCAGTACTACAACTCCTGTATCCTGCTAACGATAACGGAAAATGGTAGAACTGCTCTGGAAACTGTCTGGAAGCTTCTGTAAAAGTTGAAGATGTGGCCGGGCGTGGTGGCTCATGCCTGTAACCCCAGTACTTTGGGAGGCCGAGGCTGGTGGATTACGAAGTCAGGAGTTCAAGACCACCCTGACCAACATGGTGAAACCCTCTCTCTACTAAAAATACAAAAATTAGCCTGGCGTGGTAGCACACGCCTGTAATCCCAGCTACTCAGGAGGCTGAGGCAGGAGAATCACTTGAACCTGGGAGGCGCAGGTTGCAGTGAGCCGAGATCAGGCCATTGCACTCCAGCCTGGGTGACAGAGCAAGACTCTATCTCAAAGAAAAAAAAAAGTTAAAGATGAACATACCACAAAGTATTGTACATAAATATTTATAAGAAATATATTTGTAACAGCCAAACACTATAAACAGTTTAAAACTCCCTCAACAAGTAAATGAATGAACAAATTGTGGTATATCCTGTAATGGAATACTACTGAGCAATAAAAAGAAGAGAATTATTAGTATATACTAAAACCATGGAAGGATTTCAAAATCATTATGCTGGGTGAAAGAAATCAGACAAAAAGTAGTACTTACTGTGTAATTCCATGTATGCCAAATTATAGAAAATGTAAATTAACCTATAGTGATAGAAAGTAGATCCGTGGTTGCCTAAGGACATAGTGGAGGTGAGGAGGAGGCTTGTGCAGCCTGAAAGGGAGGAATGACAAAGAAGCATGAGAAGACTTTTGGGGGTAATAGATATGCACCCTATCTTGACTGTGGTCATGATTTCGTGGGTGCATCATACACCCAAACTTGTATGCTTTAGGAATGTGTAGTTTGTCATATGTCATCTCTCCTCAATAAGGCTATTATCAAAAAAAAGCATGCATCCCTAATATGACAACTTTATCTATTTTTAAATTTTAGATTCAGGGGATATGTACATGTGCAGATTTATTGCATGGATATAGTGCATGATGCTGAGGTTTGGGCTTCTCATAATGCCATCGCCCAAATAGTGAACATAGTACCCTATAGGTAGTTTTTGCAACCCTTGGCTTCCTCCTCCCTCCTGCCTTTTGGAATCTACAGTGTTCATTGTTCTCATCTTTGTGTCCATGTGTACCCAACGTTTAGCTCCCATTTATAACTAAGAACATGCGGTATTTAGTTTTCTGCCTCTGCTTTAATTTGCTTAGGATAATGGCCTTCAGCTCCATCCATGTTACTGCAAAGGACATGATTTCTTTCTTTTTATGGCTGTGTAGTATTTCATGGTGTATATGTATCACATTTTCTTTATCCAGTTTACCAGTTCACTGTTGATGGACACCTGGGCTGATTCCATGTCTTTGCTAATGTGAATAGTGCTGCAATAAACATATGAGTGGAGGTATCTTTTTGGTAGAATGATTTATTTTCCTTTGGGTATATACCCAGGAAGGGGACTGCTGGGTTGAATAGTAATTCTATCTTTAGTTTTTTTAGAAATCTCCAAGTTATTTTCCACAGGGGCAAAACTAATTTATATTCCCACCAACAATGTATGTGTTCTCTTTTATCCACAACCTCGCCAACACATGTTATTTTCTGAAGTTTTAGTAATAGTCATTCTGAGAGGTGTCAGATAGAATCTCACTGTGGGTTTGATTTTCATCTCTCTGACAATTAGTGATACTAATCATTTTTTCATATATTTGTTGGCTGCTTGTATGTCTTCTTTTGAGAAATGTCTGGTCATACTAATATAACAATTTTTAAAAGAGAGTAAAGGACAGACAAGAGAGTACAAGTTATGCCTTCTATATTACATATGAAAATGTTTTATAATGAGGAAAATATGGCAATTGAAACAACTTACCTGTAGAGATGCAAAGAATATATTATACATCTCACTATCAATGTCCTATAATGTTAGTTTCTATATTTGAAATCAAAGATCAAGTATACAAAGTTAGCAAGAGACTTTCTAATTTCTGAATTTTTATATTAAAAAACTCAGAAAAGTTATAAAATTAAAATCATATTGAATAAAATATATTTATTTTATAAAAAGTGAAAAATATGAAATGATATATAGTTTCCCTTATATGTTTATCTGTGAACATTTTTCTGATATTTAAGAAAACACACGATCACATAAAATTTTCATAAAGTATATAGATTTTAAAAGCATAATCATAATAATATATAATTCCATATGTCAAAGGCAACTGCTGTTTGTTTAAAAATAAAACTAGAAAGGCAGATATCAAAATATTTAGCACACACACTTGAAAACATAATTATCATACAGTTGTGTATTTTGATTTTTTTAAATAATGAATCAAAATATTTCCTCAATCACAACAAAAACTGCAATAAATTTGCTATTTAACTGATTTAGGGAGGTTTTAGTAAGCTCTGGGTGTGTGGCTATTGTTCTTTGACTCTTTTCAAGCTTTTGCTTCTCCTAATAAATCATACTGATTGGAAAGATACAGGCATGATCTTAATTCCACATTCTGCATGTCCCTCACCATTCAGTAGGACTAGATAAAATTTCCAGTATTTTTCTCACTTTGAAGTCTTTTCGGATTTAGTATAAATAGTTGTATTGTAGGTCAAGCATCTCAACAACATTTCTATAAAACACAAAATAGAACATGTCCAAATGCTGTATTTTTCAGGGCTATTAAGTTCCTATATTATTAAGCTCAAACTTGAACTAGCCCTGCAGGGTGAACTGCAAGAAACACACTCATAAATTCTCTGAATTCAGCAGCATTCACTTGGACAGTTTGCATGCTTCATGAATTTTCCCAAGATACTTGTTTTTACTTTGGATTCTTCCTTAGAATATGCATACTCACTTATAAATTTTATGTATATACAACTCTACTCACATAATATACATGATAAATACATTAAGAGATTTTCAAAAATAAGGATGAAATAAGCCATATTTTTAAAACAATTATTTTATGAATTGATAGAACAAGTATCCTTGTTACTATCACTAAAGATAATATCACTGTGATTTTAATCTAAGTCTGATTCTTAGTCCAGCTCACTTCAAGACTAGGTTTTAGTGGCCAACATAGCTAAACAAGCTATCCCTCAAAGCACAAAAATCTTTAAATGGGGTGTCGAGGGGAGGAGAGCCTGATTATCTTGCAAAATAAGTCTTGATACTCATTTATCAATTGCGTAGGATTCACTTGGTGTTTTGGATGTATAATTTTTAAATATCTTGAAACAGGTGGTCATTTCATACAAGCTTTAATCAATATATCAAGGCAAAACAAGTAGAATGTGATATATTAATAACTGTGTCTTCAAAAAAATAACTGTGTCTTCAATCTACATATCAATTTATTTTTTTTCAGCCTACTTAGTGTTTGACTTTATTGGCTTGTTGTTTTTAACCTTGCTTGTGCTAAGAGTAGAAGTGTAGCTCTGTCACTTTCTCGTGTTTTTTTTCTTGAATTATTGATATTACTTGAAATTCATTATTTCTTAGCAATAATCATTTTTAACAGTTTGATTGAGGTATAATTGATATACAATAGACTGCACACACTTAAAGTATACAATGTGATTAGTTTTGACGTAAGTATACAACCAGGAAACCATAACCACAATCTCTACGCTATCTTGATGATACAGCATTACATTGTCTTAAATCAGGTCATGCAAGTCCTCCAACTTTACTTTTTTTTCAAAGCAGTCTGGGCTATTCCAGGTCCTATACATTTCCACATGAATTTTAGAATCAATTTGTCTATTTATACATATACACGCACACACACACACACAGAAAGTCTGCTGGAACTTCTATTGAGAATGCATTGAATCTATAAATACATTTGTGTAAAATTTTTATCTTAATATTTTTTAGTCTTCTTTACCAAATTTCTGTCTATTATCCTATCAACTATTTGAGCGGTATTAGTATCTATGACTAAAATTGTGGATTTGTCTGTCTATACTTGCAGTACTATCCATTTCTTGTGCTATGCATGTTGAAGACCTATTATTAGGTGCATGAAGACTAAGAATTGTTGTCTTCTTGATAAACTGATCCATTTATCATTACGAAATGATCTTTTTCCCTAGTAAGAATCTTTTCTCTGAAAGCTGCTTTGTCTGATTATATATAATCACTCCTGATTTTTATGGTTAGTATAAGCAAGATATATTTTTTCATTCTTTTACTATTAACCTATTCACTTCTTTATATTTAAAATGCATTTCTTTTTCTGTTTTTTTGTTTTTTTGTTTTTTGGTTTTTGTTTTTTTTTTTTTTTTTGGAGACAGAATCTCACTCTGTGCCCAGGCTGCAGTGATGCAATCTCAGCTCACTGCAAATTCCGTCCCCCAGATTCCAGTGTTTCTCCTGCCTCAGCCTCCCAAGAAGCTGGTAGGTGCATGCCACCATGCCTGGCTAATATTTTTCGTATTTTTAGTAGAGATGGGGTTTCACCATGTTGGCCAAGCTGGTCTTGAACTCGTGACCTCAGGGGATCCACCCACCTCGGCCTCCCAAAATGCTAGGATTACAGGCATGAGCCACTGCACCCAGCCTAAGTGCATTTCTTGTAGACAGCATACACACTGTCTTGCTGCTTAATCAAAGAATCCCTGCTTGTCCGTAAAAAAGAACAAGATCACATCCTTTGCAGGTACATGGAATGGAGATGGAGGCCATTATCCTTAGCAAACTAATGCAGGAACAGAAAACCAAATACTGCATGTTCTCACTTATAAGTGAGAGCTAAATATTGAGAACTTATGAACACAAAGAAGGAAACAACAGACAGTGGGATCTACTTGAGGGCAGAGGGTGGGAAGAGACAGAGGAGCAGAAAAAATGACTATTTGGTAGTGAGCTTAATACCTGGGTAGTGAAATAATCTGTACAACAAACTCCTGTGACACAAGTTTATCTATGTAACAAACCAGCACATGTACCCCTGAACCTAAAAGTTTTTTTGAATCCTCGATTTTCACTTGAGACATTTAAAGTATTTACATTTAATGTAATTATTTATATGTTAAGCTTTCAGTATTACTATTTGTTTTCCTTTTTTTAATATATATACTTTAAGTTTTAGGGTACATGTGCACAACGTGCAGGTTTCTAACATATGGATACATGTGCCATGTTGGTGTGCTGCACCCATTAACTGGTCATTTGCCATTAGGTATATCTCCTAATGCTATCCCTCCCTGCTCCCCCCACCCCACAACAGTCCCTGGTGTGTGATATTCCCCTTCCTGTGTCCATGGGTTCTCATTGTTCAATTCCCACCAATGAGTCAGAACATGCAGTGTTTGGTTTTTTGTCCTTGCGATAGTTTGCTGAGAATGATGGTTTCCAGCTTCATCCATGTCCCTACAAAGGACATGAACTCATCATTTTTTATGGCTGCATAGTATTCCATGGTGTATATGTGACACATTTTCTTAATCCAGTCTATCATTCTTGGACATCTGGGTTGGTTCCAAGTCTTTGCTATTGTGAATAGTGCCGCAATAAACATACGTGTGCATGTGTCTTTATAGCAGCATGATTTATAGTCCTTTGGGTATATACCCAGTAATGGGATGGCTGGGTCAAATGGTATTTCTCGTTCTAGATCCCTGAGGAATCGCCACACCGACTTCCACAATGGTTGAACTAGTTTACAGTCCCACCAACACTGTAAAAGTGTTCCTATTTCTCCACATCCTCTCCAGCACCTGTTGTTTCCTGACTTTCTAATGATTGCCATTCTAACTGGTGTGAGATGGTATCTCATTGTGGTTTTGATTTGCATTTCTCTGATGGCCAGTGATGGTGAGCATTTTTTCATGTGTTTTTTGGCTGCATAAATGTCTTCTTTTGAGAAGTGTCTGTTCATATCCTTTGCCCACTTGTTGATGGGGTTGTTTGTTTTTTTGTTGTAAATTTGTTTGAGTTCATTGTAGATTCTGGATATTAGCCCTTTGTCAGATGAGTAGGTTGCAAAAATTTTCTCCCATTCTGTAGGTTGCCTGTTCACTCTGATGGTGGTTACTTTTGCTGTGCAGAAGCTCTTTAGTTTAATTAGATCCCATTTGTCAATTTTGGCTTTTGTTGCCATTGCTTTTGGTGTTTTAGACATGAAGTCCTTGCCCATGCCTATGTCCTGAATGGTAATGCCTAGGTTTTCTGCTAGGGTTTTTATGGTTTTAGGTCTAACATTTAAGTCTTTAATCCATCTTGAATTAATTTTTGTATAAGGTGTAAGGAAGGGATCCAGTTTCAGCTTTCTACATATGGCTAGCCAGTATTTCCAGCATCATTTATTAAATAGGGAATCCTTTCCCCATTTCTTCTTTTTGTCAGGTTTGTCAAAGATCAGATAGTTCTAGATATGCGGCATTATTTCTGAAGGCTCTGTTCTGTTCTATTGGTCTATATCTCTGTTTTGGTACCAGTACCACACTGTTTTGGTTACTGTAGCCTTGTAGTATAGTTTGAAGTCAGGTAGTGTGATGCCTCCAGCTTTGTTCTTTTGGCTTAGGATTGACTTGGCAATGTGGGCTCTTTTTTTGTTCCATATGAACTTTAAAGTAGTTATTTCCAATTCTGTGAAGAAAGTCATTGGTAGCTTGATGGGGATGGCGTTGATTCTATAAATTACCTTGGGCAGTGAGGCCATTTTCACGATATTGATTCTTCCTACCCATGAGCATGGAATGTTCCTCCATTTGTTTGTATCCTCTTTTATTTCATTGAGCAGTGGTTTGTAGTTCTCCTTGAAGAGGTCCTTCACATCCCTTGTAAGTTGGATTCCTAGGTATTTTATTCTCTTTGAAGCAATTGTGAATGGGAATTCACTCATGATTTCGCTCTCTGTTTGTTTGTTATTGGTGTATAAGAATGCTTGTGATTTTTGCACATTGATTTTGTATCCTGAGGCTTTGCTTAAGTTGCTTATCAGTTTAAGGAGATTTGGGGCTGAGGTGATGGGGTTTTCTAGATATACAATCATGTCATCTGCAAACAAGGACAATTTGACTCCCTCTTTTCCTAATTGAATGCCCTTTATTCCCTTCTCCTGCCTGACTGCCCTGGACAGAACTTCCAACACTATGTTGAATAGGAGTGGTGAGAGAGGGCATCCCTGTCTTGTGCCAGTTTTCAAAGGGAATGCTTCCAGTTCTTGTCCATTCAGTATGATATTGGCTGTGGGTATGTCATAGATAGCTCTCATTATTTTGAGATACATCCCATCAATACCTAATTTATTGAGAGCTTTTAGCACGAAGGGTTGTTGAATTTTGTCAAAGGCCTTTTCTGCATCTATTGAGATAATCATGTGGTTTTTGTCTTTAGTTCTGTTTATATGATGGATTATGTTTATTGATTTTCACATGTTGAACCAGCCTTGCATCCCAGGGATGAAGCCCACTTGATCATGGTGGATAAGCTTTTGGATCTGCTGCTGGATTCAGTTTGCTGGTATTTTATTGAGGATTTTTGCATCAATGTTCATGAAGGATATTGGTCTAAAATTCTCTTTTTTTGTTGTGTCTCTGCCAGGCTTTGGTGTCAGGATGATGCTGGCCTCATAAAATGAGTTAGGGAGGATTCCATCTTTTTCGATTGATTGGAATAGTTTCAGAAGGAATGGTATCAGCTCCTCCTTCTACCTCTGGTAGAAATCGGCTGTGAATCCATCTGGTCCTGGACTTTTTTCAGTTGGTAAGCTATTAATTATTGCCTCAATTTCAGAGCCTGTTATTCGTCTATTCAGAGATTCAACTTCTTCCTGGTTTAGTCTTGGGAGAGTGTATGTGTCGAGGAATGTATCCATGTCTTCTAGATTTTCTAGTTTATTTGCATAGAGGTGTTTATGGTATTCTCTGATGGTAGTTTGTATTTCTGTGGGATCGTTGGTGATATCCCCTTTGTCATTTTTTATTGTGTCTATTTGATTCTTCTCTCTTTTCTTCTTTATTAGTCTTGCTAGTGGTCTATCAATTTTGTTGATCTTTTCAAAAATCCAGCTCCTGGATTCATTGATTTTTTGAAGGGTTTTTTTGTGTCTCTATTTCCTTCAGTTCTGCTCTGATCTTAGTTATTTCTTCCCTTCTGCTAGCTTTTGAATGTGTTTGCTCTTGCTTCTCTAGTTCTTTTAATTGTGATGTTAGGGTGTCAATTTTAGATCTTTCCTGCTTTCTCTTGTGGGCATTTAGTGCTATAAATTTCCCTCTACACACTGCTTTGAATTTGCCCTAGAGATTCTGGTATGTTGTGTCTTTGTTCTCGTTGGTTTCAAAGAACATCTTTATTTCTGCCTTCATTTTGTTATGTACCCCGTAGTCATTCAGGAGCAGGTTGTTCAGTTTCCATGTAGTTGAGTGGTTTTGAGTGAGTTTCTTAATCCTGAGTTCTAGTTTGATTGCACTGTGGTCTGACAGACAGTTTGTTATAATTTCTATTCTTTTACATTTGCTGAGGAGTGCTTTACTTCCAACTATGTGGTCAATTTTGGAATAGGTGTGGTGTGGTGCTGAAAAGAATGTATATTCTGTTGATTTGGGGTGGAGAGTTCTGTAGATGTCTATTAGGTCCGCTTGGTGCAGAGCTGAGTTCAATTCCTGGGTATCCTTGTTAACTTTCTGTCTGGTGGATCTGTCTAATGTTGACAGTGGGGTGTTAAAGTCTCCCATTATTATTGTGTGGGAGTCTAAGTGTCTTTGTAGGTCACTAAGGCCTTGCTTTATGAATCCGGGTGCTCCTGTATTGGGTGCATATATATTTAGGATAGTTAGCTGTTCTTGTAGAATTGATCCCTTTACCATTACGTAATGGCCTTCTTTGTCTCTTTTGATCTTTGTTGGTTTAAGTCTGTTTTATCAGAGACTAGGATTGCAACCCCTGCCTTTTTTTGTTTTCCATTGGCTTGGTAGATCTTCCTCCATCCCTTTATTTTGAGCCTATGTGTGTCTCTGCACATGCGACGGGTTTCCTGAATACAGCACACTAAGGGGTCCTGACTCTTTATCCAATTTGCCAGCCTGTGCCTTTTAATTGGAGCATTTAGTCCATTTACATTTAAGGTTAGTATTGTTATGTGTGAATTTGATCCTGTCATTATGATGTTAGCTGGTTATTTTGCTCATTAGTTGATGCAGTTTCTTTCTAGCATTGATGGTCCTTACAATTTGGCATGATTTTGCAGCGGCTGGTACCGGTTGTTCCTTTCCATGTTTAGCACTTCCTTCAGGAGCTCTTTTAGGGCAGGCCTGGTGGTGACAAAATCTCTCAGCATTTGCTTGTCTGTAAAGGATTTTATTTCTCCTTCACTTATGAAGCTTAGTTTGGCTGCATATGAAATTCTGGGTTGAAAATTCTTTTCTTTAAGAATGTTGAATATTGGCCCCCACTCTCTTCTGGCTTGTAGAGTTTCTGCCGAGAGATCAGCTGTTATTCTGATGGGCTTCCCCTTGTGGGTAACCCGACCTTTCTCTCTGGCTGCCCTTAACATTTTTTCCTTCATTTCAACCTTGGTGAATCTGACAATTATGTGTCTTGGAGTTGCTCTTCTCGAGGAGTATCTTTGTGGTGTTCTCTGTATTTCCTGAATTTGAATGTTGGCCTGCCTTGCTAGATTGGGGAAGTTCTCCTGGATGATATCCTGCAGTGTTTTCCAACTTGGTTCCATTCTCCCCGTCACTTTCAGTTACACCAATCAGACGTAGATTTGGTCTTTTCACATAGTCCCGTATTTCTTGGAGCCTTTGTTCATTTCTTTTTATTCTTTTTGCTCTAAACTTCTCTTCATGCTTCATTTCATT
Source organism: Homo sapiens (assembly GCF_000001405.40). NCBI lineage: Eukaryota > Metazoa > Chordata > Mammalia > Primates > Hominidae > Homo > Homo sapiens. The sequence goes on along the minus strand of NC_000016.10, from coordinate 59,073,656 downwards.
CATTTCATCTCCCATCGCTGATACCCTTTCTCCCAGTTTATCGCATCGGTTACTGAGGCTTGTGCATTTGTCACGTAGTTCTCATGCCGTGGTTTTCAGCTCCATCAGGTCCTTTAAGGACTTCTCTGCATTGATTATTCCAGTTATCCATTTGTCTGATTTTTTTTCAAAGTTTTTAACTTCTTTGCCATTGGTTCAAACTTCCTCCTGTAGCTCAGAGTAGTTTGATCTTCTGAAGCCTTCCTCTCTCAACTCGTCAAAGTCATTCTCCATCCAGCTTTGTTCCGTTGCTGGTGAGGAGCTGTGTTCCTTTGGAGGAGGAGAGGCGCTCTGATTTTTAGAGATTGCAGTTTTTCTGCTCTGTTTTTTCCCCATCTTTGTGGTTTTATCTACCTTTGGTCTTTGATGATGGTGATGTACAGATGGGGTTTTGGTGTGAATGTCCTTTCTGTTAGTTTTGCTTCTAACAGTCAGGACCCTCAGCTGCAGGTCTTTTAGAGTTTACTGGAGGTCCACTCCAGACCCTGTTTGCCCGGGTATCAGCAGCAGTGGCTGCAGAACAGCGGACATTGGTGAACCGCAAATGCTGCTGCCTTATCATTCCTCTGGAAGTCTTGTCTCAGAGGAGTACCCGGCCGTGTGAGGTGTCAGTCTGCCCCTACTGGGGGATGCCTCCCAGTTAGGCTACTTGGGGGTCAGGGACCTCCTTGAGGAGGCAGTCTGCCTGTTCTCAGATCTCAAGCTGCATGCTGGGAGAACCACTACTCTCTTCAAAGCTGTCAGACAGGGACATTTAAGTCTGCAGAGGTTATTGCTGTCTTTTGTTTGTCCTGTGCCTTGCCCCCAGAGGTGGAGCCTACAGAGGCAGGCAGGCCTCCTTGAGTTGTGGTGGGCTCCACCGGGTTCGAGCTTCCCGGCCGCTTTGTTTACCTACTCAAGCCTCAGCAATGGCAGGTGCCCCTTCCCCAGGCTCGCTGCTGCCTTGCAGTTTGATCTCAGACTGCTGTGCTAGTAATGAGCAAGGCTCCGTGGGCGTAGGACCCTCCAAGCCATGTGCGGGATATAATCTCCTGGTGTGCCATTTGTGAAGCCTGTTGGAAAAGTGCAGTATTAGGGTGCGAGTGACCCGATTTTCCAGGTGCCATCTGTCACCCCTTTCTTTGACTAGGAAAGGGAATTCCCTGATCCCTTGCACTTCCCGGGTGAGGCAATGCCTCACCCTGCTTCAGCTCACGCATGGTGCGCTGCACCCACTGTCCTGCACCCACTGTCCGGCACTCCTCTGTGAGATCAACCCAGTACCTCAGTTGGAAATGCAGAAATCACCGATCTTCTGTGTCGCTCTCACTGGGAGCTGTAGACTGGAGCTGTTTCTATTCGGCCATCTTGGCTCCACCCTGTTTTCCATTAGTTTTATCTTTCATGTTTCTTTTTTTCCTTTTCTTCTACCTTCTTTTGGATAAATTGAGTATTTTTATAAGTCCATTTTATCTCCTTTGTTGGTTTACTGCCCATAATTCTTTGTCTTTTTATTTTAGTAGTTTTAGTGGTTGCTTTAAGGTTTATAGTATTCATTTTTAATTCATTACATTCTACCCTAAAGTGACCCTATAGCACCTCCTATACAGTATAATATTTTTATAATATCATACTCTGAGTTATCTGCTTCCCCCTTGTGCTAGTGTTGTCATATCTTTTACATATTTTATAAACCCACACTATGTGGCTGTTTTTGTTTGAATGGTCATTGATCTTTTAAAGATATTTAAAAATGAAGTTTTAAATTCTATATTTATTTATGTAGTCACAATTTCCAGTACTCTTCCTTCTTTTGTCTAGGGCCATATTCCCATCTGGTATCATTTTTCTTTAGCCTGAAGGAATTCCTTTAACATTTCTGTAGTGAGAGTCTCTTAGTGATCAATTCTTTCCATTTTTGGATGTCTGAAAAAAGCCTACGTGCCTTCATTTTAAATATTCTTACTGAATATAAAATTCTAGGTTGACTTCTTTTCTTTCAGTATTTTAAAGATGTTGCTTCACCATTTCCTCACTTTCATTGTTTCAGATAAGAAATGTGCTTTCATTAGGAAAAATAGCTAATGGATGCTGGGCTGAATACCTAGGTGATGGGTTGACAGGTGCAGCAAACCACCATGGCACATGTTTACCTATGTAACAAACCTGCACATCCTGCAAATGTACCCCAGAGCTTAAAATAAAAATTAAAAAAAAAAATGTGCTTTCACCCTCATCATTCCTCCAGTAATAAAGATTTTCTCTTTATTACTGGTGTTGAGTAATTTGAATAAAACATATGATGGTGTAGTATTTTTTTTTTTTTTTTTTTTTGAGACAGTGTCTCGCTCTGTCACCCAGGCTGGAGTGCAGTGGCATGATCTCGGCTCACTGCAAGCTCCGCCTCCCGGGTTCATGCCATTCTCCTGCCTCAGCCTCCTGAGTAGCTGGGACTACAGGCACCCGCCACCAAGCCCGGCTAATTTTTTTGTATTTTCAGTAGAGACAGCGTTTCACCGTGTTAGCCAGGATGGTCTGGATCTCCTGACCTCATGATCTGCCCGCCTCGGCCTCCCAAAGTGCTGGGATTACAGGCGTGAGCCACCATGCCCCGCCATAGTATTCTTAATAGTTCTTATGCTTGCTTGAAGTCCCTTTAGTGTAAGCTTATAATTTTCAACAAATTTGGGGAAAAAATTGTTCATTATTTGTTCTAACAACCTCCTCTTCTCCCTTCAGGGACTCCAGTCATACACGTATTCACATATTAGGCTACTTGAAGTTTTCCTATAGCTCACTGATGTCCTGTTCATTTTTCATTGTTTTATCTGTTTCATTTTTTATTTTTTTAGTTTCTACTGTTATGTCTTCATGTTTACTAATCTTTTCTTCTACAATGTCTAATATGCTGTTAATCCCTTCCAGTGTATTTTTCATCTCATTCATCACAGTTTTCTCCCCAGATGTTCAACTGGATCTGTTTTATGTCTTCTGTATGTCTAATTAACTTGAGGACATATATAATACAATTATAATAATTATTTTAATGTTCTTGTCTGATAATTCTGATATATATAATATCAGTTCTGAGTTGCTTTTTATTGATTGATTCTCTCCTCATTATAAATAGTATTTTTGTGATTCTTTGCCAGCCTCATAAGTATTTGTCGAATACCAGACATTGAGAGTTTACCTCGGATGCTGGATATTTTTGTGTTCCCTACAAATATTCTTGAGCTTTGTTCTTGAATGCAGTTAAGTTACTTGCAAAGGAGTTCGATCTTTTGGGATCTTGCCATTGATAATCATTAGATGGTACTGAAGCAATGCTCAGTCCAGGGATAATTATTACCCACCACTGATGCAAGAATCTTTTGTGCACTCTACTAAATACTTCATGGATCATGTGCTTTTCCAGTCTGGTAGTGGAAACAGACACTATTCCTGACCCTGTGTGATCAGGAAGTGCTATTACCTCTCTTCTTTTCAGGTAGTTCTTTCTCTAATATCACATAGTTTTCTCACATGCATACACTAATCAGTACTCAGCTGAATACTTGATCAGAACCCTCTGCAGATCTTTGGAGTGCTATCTTTTTTGAGACAAGAGTTTCACTCTGTTGCCCAGGCTGGAGTGCTCTGGCACAATCTCGGCTCACTGCAACCTCCAACTCCTGGGTTCAAGCAATTCTCACGCTTCAGCCTCCCAAGTAGCTGGGACCACAGGTATGTGCCACCACATACGGCTAGTATTTGTATTTTTAGTAGAGACGAGGGTTTTCCCATGTTGACCAGGTTGGTCTCAAACTCCTGACCTCAAGTGATCCGCCCACCTCGGCCTCCAAAAGTGCTGGGATTACAGGCGTGAGCCACTGCACCCAGCTCTGGAGTGCTTTCTTTGTGCAACTTTCTCTTCTCCGGTTTTGTGTTTTGTGATCTCTAGTGGCACTGGTTGTTCTATGAGATGGGGCTCATCTCATTTGTTTACCACCTCTCAGGAATCACTCTCTTTTATTGCCTGAAGTTCAATATCTTCAAAGCCATTTTTCATACATTTGCCAGTTTTTTTGGTTATTGCAGATGAAAGGGTAGGTAAATCTGGTCCTTGCCATTCTATCTTGACCAGATGCAGACGTCTTCTCCATCTCTCAAAAATGGTTGTCACAGTTAATGTTAGGTGTCAATTTCACTGAATTAAGAGATACCCAGATAGCTAGTAAAGCATTATTTCTAGATGTGTCTGTGAGGGGTTTCTGGAAGACACTGACATTTAAATCAGTGGACTGAGTAAGGAAGACCTGCCGTCATCCAAGTGGGTGGGCACTATCCAACTGACTGAGTGCCCCAATGAAACAAAATGCACAAGAAAGGTAAATTTGACCTCTCTTCTGGAGCTGGGACATTCACCTTCTCCTACCCTTGGACATAAGGACTACAGTTTCTCCAGACTTTGGACTCTGGGACTTGCACCAGTGGCCCCCTGGTTCTCAGGACTTTGGACTCAGACTGGACCATGATTCCCTGGATCTCTCTGTGGTTGACCACATGAAACTTCTTAGCCTCCATAATCACATCAGCCAATTTCCCTAGTAAAGGCCCTCATAGAAATGCAAATCAAAAGCACAATGAGATACTATCTCATACCAGTCAGAATGGCTACTATACAAAAGCCAATAAACAACAGATACTGGCAAGGTTGCAGAGAAAAGGGAATGTTTATACACTATTGGTGGGAGTGTAAATTATTCCAGCTACTGTGAAAAGCAGTTTGGAGATTTATCAAAGAACTTAAAGCCATTATTTCACCCAACGATCCCAACACTAGGTATATACCCAAAGGAAAATAAATTGTTCTAACAAAAAGACACATGCATGCGTATGTTCATTGCAGCACTATTCACAATAGCAAAGACATGGAATCAACCTAGATGTCCATCGATGGTAGACTAGATAAAGAAAATGTGGTCCATGTACACCATAGAATACTATGCGGCCTTAAAAAAAACAGGATCATATGCTTTGCAACAACGTGGATGGAGCTTGAGGCCACTATCCTAAACAAACTAAAATAGAAACAGAAAACCAAATACCACATGTTTTCGCTTCTAAGTGGGAGCTAAACATTGAGCACACATGGACATAAACATGGGGACAATAAACATGGGAACTACCAGAGGTGGGAGGGAAGGAGGGAGCATAGGCTGAAAAACTACCTATTGGATACTGTGCTCACTGCCTGGGTCCAGTATACTTATGTAACCATCCTATGCATGTACCCCCTATATTTAAAATAGAAACTGAAATTTATAAATAAATAAAAACCCCTCTCTATATATTATATGTGATATATGTTCAAGGTCACACAACTGGTAGACATAAAATTGTTTTTTAAAGATATATATAGTTCCCATTGTTTCTGTTTCTCTGGAAAACCCTAATTAATAGAATGGTGGTGTGGATTTTTTGTGTGATAGTCAACAAATGCACAGAAAACGTTATGAACTGAGATCAGTGCAAGGAAGTAATGCAGTGCTTTTAATTTCAAACATTTAACCATGCAAACTGACTGGCTATATAAGAGAAAACATTTGCTTAAGAAAGTGAATAGGTGAAGAGTAGGAGAAATCTCTCCAAGGAAAGAGAGAGTGCTTGTAAAAGACTTGTAATGGAAGATGTGTGGATCATCAGAGTTCAGAGTACCGTGTGGGGCAGGAGGGCCCAGGCAGATGGCAGGGGGTCTGATCAAGCAAAGTTTGAAAACCTTGGTAAGTATTTTAGACTATTTGAGAGCAATCAAAAGCCACTTAATGACTTTTACCATGGGATAGTAACATAATCAGATTTGCGTTTTGAAAAGACTGTTGGGTTTGTTGTTCTTGTTGTTGTTTCTTCCAAAATCTCAAAAGGAAAGAGAAAAAAATAGATGAAAATCTAGTTGTCCTTGACCTAAATTAGTATACTAGTGAAACCAGCCCAATTGTCCCACAGAACTGATGTTTACTGTTTTCTTGAATAAACATAGGAATTGACCCTTCTAGTCTTAAAGCTTGAAACTTGCATTTATCTTACTTGACCTTTTTCCCAGGAAACCAACCATGAGGCCTTCCAGAGAGTATCAAGGAACTGAAACTCACCAGATCATTGCATCTGGACAATGAGATAGCAGACCTCTCACCTGCCACGATTGCCTAACTGACCACCTGCTTCCTGTTGGCCAACTCAACTTCCTTACCCCTCTCTACTTCCTGTTTTTCCATACTTAGTTACATTCCTTACCCTCTATGTAACCCCACAACTGTAGTTGATCAGGGAGGTAGCTGTGAGACTGATCTCCTGTTCTCCTCAGCTGCAGCACCCAAATAAAGTCTCCTTTCCTGGCAATACTCATTGTTTCAGTAATTGGCTTTCTGTGAGGCAAGCAACAAGATCTAGACTGAAACCCTGGCATTTCGGTAACATTAGAAGGAAGCTCAAACACATATGGGAAGGAAGAAGAAATAATGCACCAATGTCAGCCCACAGAGCCCACAAGGTTGGGATGTCCTTGACACGGAAGGCTGAGGAAAAGGACAAACCTTAGGCAGTATAGTATGCTGTGAAAAGTGCCCAAAAGTATAGCACAACAGACTTGGCTTCAATTCCTGGTTTTGCCATTGGCTACTCATGAGACTGTGGATAACTTAATTTTCCCTACATTACAGATAAACTGAAACTCAAAGCAGCTAATCACACCTACCTTGCACAGTTCTAGTGTGACGTATAAGCCTCTCAGTATAATTCTAACCCAGTAATTGTACAATATATGTTAGCTCTCGGGGTAGTGGTATTGTATAATTAAGTCAACTCACAAAGACCAATATACGTTCAAGGTCACACAGCTGGTAGACATAAAATTGATTTTTAAAAATTACCTTTTAACTCACATACATAATTGATCATAAGAATTATATCAATTTACAATCTCACAAAAAATATCAACTTCGCACTCTCGTACCAACATGAAAAACTGTCATTTAAATAACATTATTTGATCAAGCAAGATATTAAATGATTTTATTCTACTTCTGGACTTCTTAGCAAAAAGATTTATTTCAGATAAAAAAGTTAAAATGTATGGTACTTATATGACCATAGAAGTCGAGATCAAAGGTTAGACTGAAATACAGAATACAGACAACAGTATTATGAGGTCGAATTCATCTGTTGTCGTGTGATTTCATTATCTGTTATCATTTTTCTTTTATTCTTTGACATGAGTTTATAAAGACTTTAGTGTTACTCAAAATAATCTATATTTGCAAATTTATATGGGAATATGGAGATTACACCTATATAAAATCCCTAAAGAGCATATACATTTTCAATTTGGCTTACCAAGGCAATACACATTATGGTTTATCTTACATATATGCTGGCCATCATCAAAGTCACCTTCAATGAAAGACTTGGGGAAGTAGCAGTTTCAGGAGTTAATTCTCCCCACTCTTTGAATCTATCTCATCTCTATATAGTATGCAAATTTTCTTGGAGATATTCCAGAGACTGAATACTATGGGAAAAAAAGTCTTAAAAAAAAAAGACTTAAAATGTCTGTCTTCTCTGATTAAAATTCCAGTAGATATACCTTTTAGGGAGAGAAAAGTTTTTGAATGCACTTATAATTGGACACTTTTAAAATTTCTTAATTATTTACACTTCCTGTTTGAACCAACATAATGACAATGCTGAATGAGAGCTAAAGAGCTCTCTTTTACTTGAACATAGGGATCAAATTCCACAAGGATGAATAGGGCCAGAGAGTGGACTGTTTCCACTTCAACTCATTTTGCTGCCTCTAAGCAAATTACATAAAGCCGAAAATTCACCTGTTTGTAATCAACAGCTTAGCCTCTAATACCATCACAGTTTTCTCTGTAAATATTGCCTGAGTACTTGAAAAATCATCTTAAAATATATTTTTCAAGTGGCAGGCATAATTGGTATAACATGAATTAGTCTAGTATTTAGATTGATCATGTTTATTTTGATCTTTTCAGACACTCCCCATATTCTTATGTGTAACAGGGCATAATGGAAATAGTGCTGATTAGGGATATGGGAGATCTGACCTTCAATGCTGACCCTGACCCTTGAATTTTTCTTTTGGTTTGAAAAAGTAATTTCAGTTATTTGAGTCAGCATTAGGTAAAATGAGGTTATTTAGACTAGGTGCTAAGAAAGTTTTCAGCTGATGTTTTATGAATCTCTGACCAAGGTCATGTTGATAATAAGATATATCCCAACAATTGAGATAATATAGGCTTATGCAAAGGTGAATCTAAGGTGGTGTTGTGAACACAGCATAGGACGAAGCTCACCATTGTATTAACGTGGATATATCACAAGGTGGAATTTGAAGTGGACAGGTAATTATTTTTTCCTTCTAATTTTGTTGTCACCTCAGATTTACAAAGCTGAGTTAAACATATTTCTCAATTGTTCTATGAAAAGCCCTTCTCTTGTTTTACTTTTTATTTATATTTTTTGCTTAATTTTTAGTGTCCATTTCCTTTCCCTTTCCTGCTCATCATCTTGGTCATATATGTAACCTTGTAAAACATATCATGTTATTGTACATGTGTGTTTTTGTGTTTTCAGTTTATATAAATGATGCTATTCTACAGTTCTTGGCTGTTTCTTAATTTATAATTCAAAACTATGCATTTATGGACATACAGTGTGGAATGATGCACACTGGAGACTCAGAAGGGTGGGGGTGTTGGATGAGAAGGTACTTAGTGGGTACAATATACATTATTCAGGTGATGGTTACACTAAAGTCCAGACTTCACCACTATGCAATATATCCATGTAACAAAACTTTTCTTGTCCCCCGTAAATTTATACAAATAATAAAATCTATGCTATACGGTATATTTAAAATCTATCCATTTTTCTATATGTATCTAGCTTACTGATTATATTACTTATTTTTCCAGAAATGAACACATAGATCACCTCAAATTGTTCATTACCATAAATACACTGTACCGCAAGTGGTATCTAAAGTTCAGCACAAAAAGCATGTCAGCAGGGGAAGAAGGGGAAATCTGATGATCTTGGACACTTCTTTTTAATAGACCTGTATGATATTTTTTAACAAGGCAAATAACCAGAAGTGGGGATTGCTAATCCATAATCATGTCATTCTTAATTTCACTACTAACTGCCAAATTGATCTCCAGAATGGCTGTATCTTTCTTGTTGGACATTGTTCCGGGAAAACTCTACTTCTTCTGGTTGCTACCAGCAGCTTCAATCTCCTGACCCTGTAACTCAACCATTGGCCTCCAATGCTACCAGTGAGTGGGAGAAAGGGATGGAGGAGACACATTAGCTCTTTCCTACCTTAGCTCAAACGTGACACATGTCACCTGGAGACCAGCAGCCAGAACTAGTTACTCAACTCCAGGGATGCCTAGAAAATATAAAAGACTCCGTGAATATTTTGTGAACAATGTCTGCACCGGGATTTAACTTCCCAAGTCTGAATGCTTTGCCTTGTTACAATACCTTTTATGCCTTTACAATAAAGAAAAAAAAGTGTAAGCAATGATCAAAGAGTCAATTTTGTATGTCACTGCCAGATTTAATCATGTCACTCCTCTGTTCACAAGCCGTTCATGGCTCCCCTCTGCCTAATAGGCTAAACTTCTTGGCCTAGTTTTCTCTCCAGCAATAGTAGATCAAATTTAGGATGACTTTTCATTCCCATAAATTTTTGATCAGTTTTTATTCAATTTTTGTGTAAATTGGAAGATAGTGATGGTCCCTTAAGAACTGATATGGGATTGAATGAAATTTAATAAGGTGCCTGACAGTTATGCAATTGTGATTTGTAGAACTTTCATTTTATAACATTAAGCAATATTGACCTCAGAAAAGAATAGAATGAGGAACAAAAAGAATGAATATGTTATTCACCTTTTCTAGTCTTTCTACTTGATAACTGCCCCAATAAAAGTCAAAATTAATTTCTGAATAAGACTTGAACAAACTCTTTCAAGAAAGTTGATTTATTACCAAGATTTCATGTACAATATGCAAGAAAACACAGCAGGTAAATGGGTTTCACAAAGAGCACGTTGAAGGATAATATGAAGGGATAGAAACAAACAACCAAAAAACAAAAACACGTAACTGAGTGATTCTCATGAGGATACCCTCAGGGATTTGGGAGGTCCCTTTAACATACCTGGGTTTACTTTCGAACCCCAAGAGATGGCCCTGATTCTCTCAAGCAGAAAAAACCCATCTTGAAGCTATGCTCTCCAATTATTTCAGTCGAGCACACAATACAAATAGCTCTTAGGGTGAGCTGAAATATCTGAAAGTTTGCAGCCCTGCTTTAAAAAACATTTACCTCTGCCAGATTTTATAAAATGTCATTTCAATTATTTTTGCACAACAGCATTGAAGGAACATTTCCTTGATTAGCTTGACACGTGGTAATTTGGGTAGAGTTTAACTTTATTTATCCTTGACTAGAACAAATTGTCTCTCTGCCCTTGTTTATACAAAGTGCTGTTATTTTTTTTTCTCCTTTCATTTGTATAATCTGTGGCTTGGTTTTATCTTAAATGCTGGTAATTGGTACATTGAAGCAGACTTTAACTGCATCGAATTCACAGCTAAGAAAGCAAAGTGGTGTGTGGAGGAGAGGGGCATAGATCCAATACATACATGAGACCTGTTAAACAAAAGCCAAGGATAATTAAAAGCAAAAAGAAAAGAAACTCCTGACAGAACAACGAACTAGCAAAGAGTTTACAACTTTAGAAAAAAAGAAAACTGAAGAGGAAATATTTCCACCACATGGCTTCAATTGTATTTTACATTGAAGAACATTTACTTACTCTCAAATCTAGACATCTATAAGTTAAGACCAGGGGAGACTCTAATACTTTGGCCTTAACCTCATGGGAAAAGTTTATATGTGAAGTTATAATTCTGCTTTAAAGAGTATTGCCACATTAAATGATGTTCAGAAATGGCAATTAGCCTGGAGAACATGTAAACACATACACTATTGTGAATTTAGATGTAAATTTTATTCCCTTTATTATGCTACATTTAATGGAACTATACTGGAGTAGATTACGGAATCAAAGAAAACCTGGAGTTTAAAAGTCACCTCAGAGGCTACTCCAACCCATAAAATGTTTTTTCCTCTCTATGACACATTTCATTCTTATTTGATTGGCTTAAATTTTATTCCATGTCAATTTGGCCTTTGTATGCAGTATCCTAGATGGATTCTTTCATATAAAGGCTCAGTACTGAACAGAAAAAATTTTAAAAGAAAAGGGAATTTACTGAGCACCTACTGTGGGCTAGTCACTCTTTTAAGACTTTCACATATGTTAAGTTTTGTAGTCCTCATAATCAAAATTTACACTTATTTAATAGATTCATATTTATACTTTTTGCTTTTAGATTTTATTTTTATAAAAATTAATAGATGTTCCCCCACAGAAATCTTGGAAGATATTCAGAGGGAACTATGAATCATCTATAATCTACAGTCTACATATAATCATGATTAAGCTTATATTCATTTTTCAGGTGGATGTCTTCATTTTTAATGTAATTGGAATCATACAGGTTATGCAGTTTCTTGCCCTTCAATTTTTGCTGAAATTATATCATCAACATTTTCCTATGTCATTTTGAATTCTCCATCCATGATTTTGAAGGGCCCATTATGTTTCATTATTTGGTTGTACCATAATTAGTCTAACCTCTCTGGTATTTTGGGGGCATGTAATTTACTGAGATTCTTACCTCCTATGAAACCAGAATGCATCTACAAATGGTAATACTGTGAACTGCTATGGTCACTGCCTCCCTTTCAAGGTTATTGCTGTAACCCAATTGAAATCTAAATGTTGGCACAAAAAGTGTGTTAGCAGGAGATGAAGGGCTGGGGATAGCACAGAGAGGTATTGAGAAGAAAACATCAGCCAGATACACAGTACTCTGCCCTATTATTTACTCTATTATTCTAGCCAAAATTTAAAAGAGCTAGGTTCAAAACATGCGGCCGTTTGTGTCCTGGGCTCCAGGTCTTCCTGAGGCCAGTTAAACTGGTGCACACCTCAGTAAACTCCTAATATAAATTCTTTTCTGAGGGGCAATATATTTTTGTTAGATTGCTTTGTACCTTATGACCAAAGAGGCCCAAATGAACAAAATACTTAGTGTCTATAACAAAGATGATAACAGATTTTTATTAGTCAGGGTTCTCAGAGAAACAGAACCAATAGAAAACATGCATCTGTACACACACACACACACGCACACATATATATGTATATATCCTGTCATATATAAATAATATAATAAATATCATATATAAATATATATAAGAAAATGTATTATGAGGAATTGGCTCATGTAATTATGGAGACAGAAAAGTCCCAGATCTGCCATCTGCAAGCTGGAGACCCAGAAAAGTCCAGTGGTGAAATTCAATCTGAATCTGAAGGCCTGAGAACCAGGTGAGCCAATGGTATAAATCCCACTCTGAGTGGGGATTCCAAAGGAGGAAGGGAAGGAAGGGTGTAAGAGTTGAGAAACTACCTCTGGGGTACTGCATTCACTATTTGGACAACAGGATCAATAGAAGTCCAAACCTCAGCATCATGCAATATACCCTTGTAATAAACCTGCACCTGCACTTCCTAAATCTAAAATAAAAGCAGAAATTTTAAAAAGCAAATGAAAGGAAACAGTTCACAGTGTTACCATTTGTAGATGCCTTCTGGTTTTGTAGGAAGAATCTCAGAAAAGTATGTGCCCGCCAAAATACCGGAGATATTAGACTAATTGTGATACAACCAAATAATGAAACATAATGAAAGAAAAAAGAAAAATTATGTGAAAAAGAAAAAATAAAAACAAAAAAATGAGCAAAAATCCAATTCTAAGAGCAGGAAAAGATGAGATGTTCCAGCTCAAGCAGTGAGGCAAAAAAAAAAAAAAAAAAAAAAAAAAAAAAAAGGCAAGCTCCTCCTTCCTCCACCTTTTTGTCTGTTCAGGCTCTCAACAGGTTAGATGGTGACAACTCACACTGGGGAGGGTAATCTACTTTACTGAGTCCACTGGTTCAAACACTCATCTCATCCAGATATATCCTCATGAACATAGCCAGAAAGAATGTTTAACCAGATATCTGTGCATTCCCTGATTCATTCAAGTTGAAATATGCAATCAGCTTTCTCAAGTCCACCTCATCAACTCGGCATTCACACAAATTCCCTTAAGCCACAATTAATCTCCAGATAAAGACAATAATAAGGTCATAATTCCACCTAACATGATACAACTATCCTGCTTACCAGAATGTATTAACTCATTTCCCAAAAGAAGAGGTAAAGTTCTTAAGTGATAATTACTCTTCTTCTTTCCATCCTATAACTTAAATACTATGGTGTCAAATTAACAATACTATAACACTATATATAAAGTCAATATGTCTTATGTTACGTGATAAGAGAATAAGAGTGAGAAGAAAAAGAAAAACAAATACACACACAACAGATGTTCATATCAAAATAAGGAGGAAAATTCACAACAATTATAGTCCTTCTTTCTGCAACTAGTCACATGATCATAGCTGGTCTTTATATCTACCTTCTTCCACTACCCATTATGTATTTTCCTTGCCTTCAGCAAGCACTTCAGGTAGTTTTGGTTCTTTATCTGCTGGGGTAGCCCAAATCTTCATTCCTGAAGGGTCTGGGCCATTTGTTGTCTTACCTGGATTGGGTTGTTGTAGTGTTCCATTTACCTTAATCACACAGCATGATACTAATAAGAGATGCCCTAAAGGCTCTCCTGTATTTCAAACCACACTTTTTTTTACCTCCACTGTAGAGTAGTAGCCCAATTTCCTCCTTGGCAACTAGGATCAATCAGCCCAGCCAATCCCTTAACTCCTCCTTTGTCTGTTGACTCGGAGGCATTAAGAGCCCGAAGTGGCTGGTTCACAGTCTTAACTTCTGGTTCAATTGAATCATTGTTGTATTTATTGGAGGAAGAATTTCTCCCTCTGGAACTAAATTGGCTAGGCCAGCAGAGCACAAAGTCACAGAAATAGGAAGCAAAAATTGTGCTAGTGGGTCACTAGGGGTACTAGTGAGTGGTGCCACTCCATTTCCATCCTTTAATTTCTAGATGATGAACCCCGGCTATAAGAGTAACAGCATCATATACTAGACACTGATTCAGAGCATATACAGTCTCCTGGAGGACCTCACCCCTGGCCAATTACAGTGCCAACCAAGATATTGTCACTTGGCTGGCACTGTAATTGAGTCTTCAAAAGACCATTCCACCATTCTATCAAGCCAGCTGCTTCCAGATGGTAGAAAATATGGTAAGACCAGTGAACTCCACAGCCATGGGCCCATCGCTGAACTTTTGCTGTGAAGTGAGTTCCCTGATCTTAAACAATGCCGGGTGGAATACCATGATGACAGATAAGACATTCTAAGCCACAATGCAATCATGGAAGACAAATCCATATCCAAATTACCTATTCCAGTAAAGACAAAACATTGCCCTTTTCATAATGAAATGGATCCAGTGTAGTCGACCTGCCACCAGGCAGCTTGCTGGTTACCCCAGGGAATGGGGCCATATTGGTGGTCTCAGTGTTGGTCTCTGCTGCTGGCAGATAGGGTATCACCAGTGGCTGGAGCCAGGTTGGCCTTGGTGAGTCCATGTTGCTGAGCCCACACAAAGCCACCATCCCTGCCACCATGGTCACCTTGTTCATGAGCCCATTGAGTGATGAAATGGATGGCTAAAGAAAGAGGCTGACCAGCAACCACAGAACAGATCATCTTACCCACTTTATTAAAATCCTCCTCTGCTGCAGTCACTCTTGGGTAAGCGTTCACATGATACACAAATATCTTCACATTGTTTGCCCATTCAGAGAGGTCTATCAATATATCTCTTACTCAAATCTCTTGGTCACCAATTTTCCAATCATGTTCCTTCCAGGTCCCTGATTGTCCAGCAAAAACATTGGCTACAGCCCATGAATCAGTATATAATCACACATCTGGCCACTTCCTCTTCCAAGCAACATGAGAAACTATTGCATTTCTCAAAGTTCTGCCCACTGAGAAGACTTTCCCTCACCACTGTGCTTCAGCGTTATTTCAGAGAGAAGCTGTAATGCAGCAGCTGTCCACTGTTGTGTGGTGCCTGCATATCATGCAGATATGCGTAAACCAGGCCATGTGTAAACCAGGCCCCTGTTTTCTCTTCCTTTGTCAACTGATTGTAGGAAACTTCCCATGAGGTCATAGGTACAGGCAGGGAGAGAAAAATTAACTATCACATAGGTTCACTCTATTCTGAGCAGATCACGTTGAAATTCAAGGTAGTTCATTTAAAATAAATATTTAAAGAGTAGAGTCCTTCCACCCCACAAGACAAGAGACAAAGACATAAAGGCTTCCAAACCAGCTCCTATGAGGAATGATAAAAATAAATGAAAATATTTAGAATAGTGAAAGTTATTGACAAACGTTAAAATGTTGTCTTGTGTAAGAGGAAATTGACTTGTTCTATGTGGTTGCATGGCTTAGAATTTAGACCAGTGAAATATAATTTTGTTTAATATAAGAAAAAGCATTCCAAAAGAGTGGAATACAAAATGGACTGGCTGCTTCAGAAAGCAGTAACCCCCTGGAATAGTCAGGTATATAAATAATAATCATTAAAAAGATACATTAAGAAGGGAAGTCAAGATATTGGTAGAAAGCTCTATCATGTGACATTCCAATTGACTTCCAAGTTTAATGGTTTTTAAAATATAGGCTATTATAACAAGAAGATACCTTTTTAAAGCTTTAAAAGAAATTCAGAATGAATGTTGACTGTCTTTTCTTTGAGGGGCCAAAACAAAAGCTTGGTTAGGAATGTTATCCACTAATGTGCTACCAAGATTATTTTTCCAAGACAGTATGAGAAAATGTCATTGAGAGTGAATACAAATTATGGTTTAGAGGGAAGAAAGTCAATATCCAAGGAAACAGTGTCAAGTCCAAGGGTGAGAATAAACAAGAAATGTGAGAACTAATAACAAGATCAAGAGACTTTGAGAAAAAGTCAGAAAGCATTGAAGGACTAGAATAAAGCAAGTGGGTCAGAACAGCACAGTGAGCAATGAGCAAGTGTTACCTTCTGCAGAGCTTCATGCTAGGCCTTAAAGAAACAATGGCAAGATGGAAAATATGAGGAAACATATTTATGGAGACCAGCATATAACAGCATTTGTATCTCAAGCATTTACATTAAATTGTGATGATAACTTTTAAGAATTTTGGAGCATTAATAAACATAGAATGGGTGATAGAAGTTCAAGATGCTCACAAGAAAATAAGTGAATTTATTAAAATTTAAATATAATTGAAAACTCATGTATAGAAGGAAAAACCTAGACGAGGAAGAGCAATTACACTGCAGTATTTTTGCAGTTTTTAATGTTTTTGTAATATTTAACTCTTGGGTTCTTCATAAAAGAGAATCTCTTGCTAAAGGACACCTCATGGTTTAGTTTGATTTTGTTTTGTTTTGTTTTCATTAAAATTGAACCCATAGGACTGTCATGCATTCATGACATAGAGGCAAAGAGCATGAGCTTTGAAATTATACAGGCATGAAGTTAAATTCCAGCTTTGCTGTTACTAAATATAGTTATTACCTTGTGGAAAATGGCACTGGAAAACCAGCTTTGTGCTTCAACTTTGCATTTGTCAATTGAGAGTTGTCAAATGAGAAATATATCCCATGCATTTAGCACAGTTCTTGGAACATTACAGGTGTGCATTAAACTGTAGGGAGGGTTATGAGTTTTTCTAAAGGTTTTGTGTATTCATCTGCTCACTAATGAAAAGTTCATTGGCTATCAGAGCTTGGCCTGATCTATTCAGCCATCACCATTACAGAGGCTACAGATTTTCACAAAATCTAAACAAAAGGTGAAATCAATGATGGCATCCAAATAAGAAGGGACGCCCAAGTTAGAATTTGGAGCTACGATTAACTTTTCACTCTGCTTTCAAAGCAGAAAAATCAGGTGGCCTTTGTTATAAACAGATCTCTATTTATTGCAGTGTCATAGCATGAAGTGAGTAATGATGTTGTCTAAGGGTTTATTAGCGTCAGCCAAGAGCCCAATAGTAGAATTTGTGTTTAATTCGGACCAGCCAGGTTTCCTCTAAACCTGCTACCTACAATTAAGTTAAACAGCAGCTCAAATTATTTAATTCAGATCATTTATTTGGACAAAACATATTCTAAGTTCAGCTTCACAGGGCTAAGACTGTCATTTTACTTAAGTTACAACTCTGTTAAATTGACAGCATACCAAAGGTATAGCAAGATTCGGCAGTTGACCCAAGAAATTGCACATGTGGTGGTCAATTTTCAAAAAAAAATTTTCAAACTGCAATGATTCCACGCTGTGCCATGCTGTGCCTCTTGCATACAAACAATTAGAATGGACTCATAAACAGGAAATGTGGTAGCAGAGAAGAATGAAAACGTGGGATGAGATTAGAGATAAAATTGTTTGCCTTGCAAAGAAGGGCGGGATGAGAGTAAGGTGAATAAAAGATGCCTTTCAGCAAGAGAAAGTAGTATACAGCCAAAATCCCAGTCCATAACTGCCATATAATCCATAAATTACCTGCATGACTGTAATGTAAATAAATTGTTTGAATCTAGCTTCATTTCTCCATTACAGATTTTAAAAAGGAGTCTCAGGAAATAAAATGACTAGTGACTCTCCAAAGTGTACCTCATTCTTCTGACAAAACCAGAAATCGAACTATGGTTGTCTCACTTCAGTGCTATTTCCATGTTACATTTTTCAAGTGACTCTGCATTACGAAGGCCATATCTTAGAAATGCATCTTCAAAAAATATATATCGTAGATGCAGAGGCAGTCCAGAGTTCAGCCTACTGGTTAAAACATTCACACCAGCAACAAACCTAGATTTGACTTTTTTTTTTTTTTTTTAATCTTTTGAGACAGACTCTCGTTCTGTCACCAGGCTGGAGTGCAGTGGTGCAATCTCGGCTCACTGCAAGCTCCACCTCCCGGGTTCATGCCATTCTCCTGCCTCAGCCTCCCGAGCAGCTGGGACTACAGGTGCCCGCCACCATGCCTGGCTAATTTTTCTTTTTTTTAATAGAGACGGGGCTTCACCATGTTGGCCAGGATGGTCTCAATCTCCTGACCTCATGATCGGCCCGCCTCGGCCTCCCAAAGTGCTGGGATTACAGGTGTGAGCCACTGCACCCAACCTAGATTTGATTTTTTTTAACCATAGCTAGCTAGTTATGTAGCTTTGAGTGATGTGTTTATTTTTTCTGAATGTTGCTTTGGTTTTTGTTTTCACCTTATTTCTAAAAGGCTTGTGTACTGATTGACTGGAGGGTGGTGAGAAATAAATATGACAACCTCATCCAGTTATTGGTGTTGCTATAATATTAAATTATACAACAAATATAAAGTACTTAGCACAGTCCCTGCCACACAGGAGGTATTTAGTAAATGACAGGTCTTATTATGAAGGTCAGAATTTTGAATATATCTCCCTAATCAGACTGTTAGATCTGACAGACCTACTTTATTCTGAAATAAAACTTAACTACACAAGAAGGTAAAGTCTGATCATGTTTGCTGACTAGCTGTAAAGGGCATCACAAATACAGTATATTCATTTTCAAACACAGATGAGGCACTAAAGCTGATCAAATCATATGTTTTATGTTAAGTAAAGATTTGGGCTCACTTTTTTAAGTATATAAAAGCAAAGATTTGAGAAACCACCAGCAGAAACATGTAGAAAAATGCTGGAGCTAATCATGCCTCATCAGGTCTACCTCTTGGTAGAGATCTTAGCCATGCTTGCTGATGGCCATGTGGAAAACTGTATCTTTCAGCCTCCTGAGAGCATTCAGAGCTAACCGGTATTTGTTTTCATTTTTTAATTTATTTTTTCCTGTGGACAATACAGCTCCACTATATATATATATATATATATATATATATATATATATATATATATATATATATATATATTTTTTTTTTTTTTTTTTTTTTTAAGATGGAGTCTCACTCTGTTGCCCAGGCTGGAGGGCAATGGTGTGATCTCAGCTCACTGCAACCTCTGTCTCAGTTCAAGCCATTCTTCTGCCTCAGGATCCCAAGCAGCTGGGTCTATAGGCATGCATTACCATGCCTGGCTAATTTTTGTAATTTTAGTAGAGACAGGGTTTCACCAACTTGGCCAGGCTGGTCTTGAACTCCCGACCTCAAGTCATCTGCCTGTCTCAACCTCCCAAAGTGCTAAGATTACAGGCGTGAGCCACTGTGTCCAGCCCACAGTATTTTTTTATGCCAACTAAGACAATAGGAGTCAAAAGTTCAAGGGAAAAGAACCTTTGAGTTCAAGTGAAAAGAACCTCTGGCAATGAATCCACTCGGAGGAAGTGGTTAAGTTCAACCATTGCAATTTTAGCCAATCTAGACTCTAAATTAGAATAAAGTGCATGGCAGGGAAGCATAGGCTTTTATTGCTTTTGGTGGTAGTGGTAGTTTTTTTCTTTCAGTACAAACTTGGAAAAGCAAAAGGCAGTGGAGGCAAAATGCTTGCATTTTTTGAGATATTTTTGTTTCTGTTTCTCATTTGGAGGACAATCCTGTAGGAGAACACAAAAATAAAGTGTTCTTTAGAGCTAAGTCATGGAATTATCAAGGGCAGAACTAAAAATACCACAGCCTTTATACTGGAGAGGGGTTCAGAGAAATCACTCTGGATATAAGTGGAACTTGTTATTTTTATTATTTGAAGATAATAAGTAAGAAAGGAAAAAGGCATGTACAACTATATTAATCAGGGTCCACCAGAGAGACAGAACCAATAGGAGATAGGCAGGTAGGATGATGGAGGCTGATAACTCCCACGATAGGCTCTCTACAAGTTGGAGAACCACAGAAGCCGATGGCCTAGCTCAGTTCAACTCAGAATGTCTGGGAACAAAGAAAGCAGATGCTGTAACTCTCAATTCAAGGCCAAAGGTCTGAGAGCCCCCAGGAAGCTGCTGGTGCAAGTCCTAGAGACTGGAGGCCAACGACCTGGAGTGCTGATATCCAAGGGCAGGAGAAAGGCATCCCATTCTAAAAAAAGAGAGAGAAAATACACCCTTCTTTGCCCTCTTTCCATCCAGTTTCCCAGTTGAATGGTAGATGCCTGTCCACATTAAGGAGGATCTTCCACCAGCTCACACGCCAACTCCTCACCTGCCAGCCCACCAACTCACAAGCCAACTCCTCCAACTCATATGCCAATCTCCTCCAAAAACACCCTTAAGGACACTCAAAAACAGTTCATCAGCCATCTAGGCATCCCTCTATCCAGTCCAGCTGACATCTAAAATTCAGCGTTGCAACAACCTTTAATATTGTCTTAATAATTCTGCAATTTCAGAAGCCAAGGTAGAAACAGAGGCAAGGGAACAAATCTGTGAATGGTTCTGTTTTGACTAACAATAGAAAATGGCTTATGAATTCCCTCAACTCTGTCAATCTGCCCCAGACAACAAGCCAAAGATCCATTCTCTGAAGTCCCCATCTGGGTCCCCCAGCCTACCTTCTCACATCTATTTTGAAAGGCTAATGTTAGAAGAAAAACACACAAAAACTAAAAAGCCTCATTTCTTATTTTCTAGGAACTTACTGTTTAGCAAGTTTCCAAGGGGTTCTTGAAATTACCTGGCAACTTATTAGAAATGCAGGCCCTTGGGCCCCAATCCAGAAGCACTGAATCAGAATCTGCATTTGAACAAGGTCCCCAGGAGACCCCACGCAAAGATTGAGTTGCACTGTTCCAGTCTGTTCCGTCATGAGGAGAAACACGATAAAGTCTCCTCTGCCTGTCCCTCTGTCAGGTCCAAACAGAGCACTGGCAGCGTAGATTGCAAAATGAGTATTTGTTAATTGTGCAGGGATTAAACAAGCCCAGCAAGCATTCTAATTCAAATGCATCTCAAATGACTCTGCTCATCAGTAGGAACACAATTTGTCAATTTGTACCTGGCTCATGGAAACCATAACTATTAATCAGCCTAAGTGGAGAGAGACCTGCAAATGAGGGGCTGCGTGTTTATGGTGATCACGGTTGGATGGTCCATTAACACACACATTCTGACCTCTGAACTGAACCTATTAGAACAGACTTTATCTTTCCTGCGGTCAAACTTGTACCAGCGACCTAATCCTTGCTCACTACCAATAGCATTTCACTTCTCAAAACATCTATTTTATGTTATAAAAGACATGCCTTGGATTTGCCCACAAGCTTCAACCATTCACATACTGTGGGTGTCTATAAGAGAACACCACTGTCGTAAAAAATTTCAATGCTTATCCAATGTTAATTACTTACACATTTCAACATTCATTTGATAAATATTTCTTGGTTTCTCCATGCCTTGCTGCGAATAGGCATATCCAAGCTTACCATTAACCTTGGGAAGATATGATAAATTAACAGATCTTTATGATCTCTGTTATATCCACTAACTAGGGAAAGTTTAGAGTGATGTAGTACAGAAAAGTTTCCCTAATGAAATCCTCAGACGTCAGAGCATATTACCTGGAGACTGTGACATTTAAGTCAATGTGGACAAATAGCAAATATTTACAAATAAATAAAGAAAGGAATGTGCCAGATAGAAAAGGAAAACAAAATGTACTAACACTTAGAAGTAAGAAGGAACACAGAACAACTGGAGACCTGCAAGTAAGTAATCCACTATTCCATTATGCCTGCAGTACGGGATGGGGTCACAGAGTAGGGACACAAAGGATGAAACCACAGGGGTAAGCAGGGAACAATCATGAAGAACCTCATAAGACATATCAGTGAATTAGATGTTGAATGCCACAGGAGTTGGAGAATCAGACTAACGTCTTAGATTCTTTTGGATGCAATTTGGGGAAGAGATCAGAGTAGAGCAAGACTAGAGGAAGAGAGACCCAATAAGAGATGCACAGGTTCAGAGATGAGGAGGAGTTTCCTGACGTCTGTCTGCACAGCTGTTACAGAAGGCTCAAAAAACAAGATCCTTTGGGAGGCCAAGGCTGAGATCAGGAGTTTGAGACCAGCCTGGCCAACATGGCGAAACCCCATCTCTACTAAAAATACAAAAATTAGCTGGGTGTGGTGGTGCACGCCTGTAATCCCAGCCACACAGGAGGCTGATGCAGGAGAATTGCTTGACCCGGGAGGCGGAGGTTGCAGTGAACTGAAATTGTGCCACTGCATTCTAGCCTGGGCAATAGAGGGAGACTCTGTCTAAAAAATAAAATAAAAAAAATAAAATAAACACAAGATCCCTAATAAGAAAATGAAGCAGAGCTTCTGAAGCCCAGAGAGATCTGATTAGTGCATCCCCCTGAAGGGATTAGGCAAAGTCAGAACCAAAAGGGAGCAAGACAAACAAGGAGGATGGAGAAGAAAAGGGAGAAGTGGGTGAAACAAGACAACTCAGGATCCAAGATCATGCACACTGAACAGACATCAGCTGCTCCTTCAGGGCGCGATGTACTTCTCCAGGCTGCAGCAGACCTTTAAAGAGGGCAAAACGGGGATGAAGAGGGTGCCCATTTAGGTTTTTAATACCACCTGGCATTGTTACTAAAGAGTAATTTGAAGCATTTAACAAAGTATACTAATGCACAGCATTTTAAGTGAAAAACAAAAATTGATGAAAATATGTTAGTCTATTCATCTGTCATGAAACACCCAGGCAAATACAAAATATTGAATAGCCAGGGCTGGTGAAAATGTTGTTTCCAGTCATCCAAATATTTGAAACTTGAGTCTTAATGTGAGAGTGGAAAATAGCAAAGTTCACACAAATTAAGCATGTGGGCATATGTAATTTGTAGAGGTGTGCTTGATTTTCCACAATAAAAATTGTGAATTAAATTTTAGACTATTAATCAAATGTTAAATATATCCTTTTGGCATAAAAAAATTTCTGTCATTAATTAATCCTTTGGCATTAGGAATTCTCTCCATTCACATTGTCCCATACAGACCCAATCAAACCTATATATATATAATTTATACATATACACTATATAAATATATATTCATATATATATTTATATTCATAAATATTTATACCATATTTATTTATACTATATATAGTGTAAATATATTCACATATATTTACTATATATAAATATATATATATACACCATATATATATACCATATATATACCATATATATATATACCATATATATATATATATATATATATACACACACACACACCATATATATATATACTCTGCCAACAATTGAATAAACCTGGGGAAACAGATTCTGACAGATAGTATAAATATATTTATACTACATATATAGAGACAGTATAGTGTATACATATACACTATGTATATAGTATATATACTATAAATATATTATATATACTGTACATAATATATATACTATATATAGTATAGTATATATAATACTATATATAGTATAAATATACACTATATATACTATAGTATATATAATGCTATATATAGGATAAATATATACTATAGTATATAAATATTATTTATACTATATAGATATAGATAAATATATTTATATTTTACATAAATATATATTATATATAATATATAATATATAAATATAATATATAAATATATATAAATATATATTATACATAATATATATTTATGTATATATATTTATACTGTATATAGTATATATTATATATATATGTATATATATATTCTGCCAACAATTGAATAAACCTGGGGAAACAGACTCTGCCCCTAGAGCACTCAGAAGAAAATACAGCCCTGCTGACCCCTTGCTTTCTGCTACTGGAAACTCTAAGCAGAGAAACCAGCTGAGCCCTCCAGATTACTCATCTACAGAATTATGATATAACAAATAGATATTGTTTTAAGGCACAAATCTGTGGTAGTTTGTTATGACAGCCATGGAAAATTAACACAAACCTCTTCTGATGAGGGCCTGAGGAATCTCTCTGTTATTTTCAGCCTCACTTCTTTGTGCTTTTGGATAAGGCACCCTTTTTGGACAACTGGCCACTGTACAGAGATGGCAGTTAAGAGCATCCATCTTTTGTTCTGGCTTGGCGGGAATAATACAATGTGCATTGAATGAAAACTTCATTTGGATGGGCTCACCGTGCTTACTGTTCTCCCCTCCAAATTTTTTTCACTCTGCAGACTCTGAAAGGTTCGTTTTCAAAGTAAGGATGGTGAATGCTTCAGGAAGTCTCCAGAAGATTATTATTCAACTGATCCTACAAAATAGATTAAAAATAACATTGTGCTAGTTTCCTAGGTTGCTGTGACAAATTACCCCATGCTGAGTGGCTTGAAACAACAGAAGTTTATTATCTCGCAGTTCTGGATGCCAGAAGTCTGAAATCAAGATGTTGGCAGGGTCGTGCTCCCTCTAGGGCTCCAGAGCCACTTCCTTCCTTGCTTCTTCCAGCTTTTGAGGGGGCCAGCAATGCTTGGCCTTCCTTGGCAGTAAACACATCATTTCAGTCTCCACCCCCTCCCTCATCAAATGGTGTTCTATGTGTCTTCAAATGACTTTCTCCTCTGTGTGGCTGTGCCCAAATTTCCCTCTTGCTATAAAGACACCAGTCATTGGATTAGGGACTACGCTAATCCAGTATGACATCCCCTTAACTTGACAAATAGCCTCTGCAAAGACCCTATTCCCATAGAAGGTCACATTTTGTGTTTCTAGGTGAACATGAATGTAGGGTGGGACACTATTCAACCCAGTACAGACATAATGTTCACCTGCTACTTTAGCTTTGGAAAGAAAAATAAAACATCTAAGACAGCATTTTAAAAATCTAAGCTCGCAGTGCTTTCCTCAGTTAAACATTTCAAAAGGTTAATCTATTGTTTTTGTCTATGTGGTGCCAAGCCAGAGTGGATGAGATTTATTTATTTATTTTAAAATAAAATAAATTTTATTATTTGATTTGATTTTTTAGAGATGGTGGTCTCATTGTTACCCAGGCTGGAGTATAGTGGCATGATCCTAGCTCACTGCAGCCTTGAACTCCTGGGCTCAAGTGATTCTCCCACCTCAGCTTCTGAGCAGCTGGAACTACAGACATGTGCTGTAGACATAAATAACCATGCCCAGTTATTTTTATTTTTTGTAGAGACAGGGCCTCCCTATATTGACCAGGCGGGTCTCAAACTCCTGGCCTCAAGCTATCCTCTAGCCTTGGCATCCCAAAGTGCTGGGATTATTGGCGTGAGCACTGCACCGGGCTGTAGATGAAATTTAAATCTTAACTAAAGTATTTCACAATATTTTAAGGCAATAGAACAAAAATCACGTTTTCATTTCCTCACAGAAGGATATAATAACTAGTTTAGAGTTATAGAATGTTGGCTTTTGGAAGGCATCTACCTCCCAGCAATCACAAGAACCCTTCCAAGATTGTTGTTCTCTGCTCTAATAAAACACACACACACACACACACACACACACACTATATATAAAATATATATAAATTTGTATTTATATATGTATTTAATACATACTACATAATAATAAACTTCTGTTGTTTCAAGCCACTCAGCATGGGGTAATTTGTCACAGCACCCTGGGAAAACAGCACAATGTTATTTTTAATCTATTATATAGGATCAGTTGAATAACAATCTTCTAGAGACTTCCTGAAGCACTCACCATCCTTACTTTGAAAACGAACCTTTCAGAGTCTGCAGAGTGAAAAAAATTTGGAGGGGAGAACAGTAAGCACGGTGAGCCCATCCAAATGAAGTTTTCATTCAATGCACATTGTATTATTCCCGCCAAGCCAGAACAAAAGATGGATGCTCTTAACTGCCATCTCTGTACAGTGGCCAGTTGTCCAAAAAGGGTGCCTTATCCAAAAGCACAAAGAAGTGAGGCTGAAAATAACAGAGATTCCTCAGGCCCCCATCAGAAGAGGTTTGTGTTAATTTTCTATGGCTGTCATAACAAACTACCACAGATTTGTGCCTTAAAACAATATCTATTTATTATATCACAATTCTGTAGATGAGTAATCTGGAGGGCTCAGCTGGTTTCTCTGCTTAGAGTTTCCAGTAGCAGAAAGCAAGGGGTCAACAGGGCTGTATTTCCTTCTGAGTGCTCTAGGGGCAGAATCTGTTTCCCCAGGTTTATTCAATTGTTGGCAGAATTCAGTTCCATACGGTTGTAGGATTGAGGTCCTGTTTTCTTGGTGGTTGTCAACTGGGGACCAACCTGAGCTTCTAGAGGCCTTTCTCCAGTCGCACATAGCACCCCCTACACCTCAGAAC
The DNA here is from genome assembly GCF_000001405.40 of Homo sapiens. Lineage (NCBI taxonomy): Eukaryota > Metazoa > Chordata > Mammalia > Primates > Hominidae > Homo > Homo sapiens. Next base: position 59,047,168 of record NC_000016.10, on the reverse strand, counting down.
CAGCAACGGGGAGACAGATCCGTGCCCATCTCCTCTGCCTCCTCTTCTACCTTCTTTTTTTCCATTTTTTTTTTTAATTCTACGTAAAGTCACTTTATTTTCGTATTTTTTAATTTTATTGGTTTGTTTTTTTTTTTTTTGAGACAGGGTCCCACTCTGTTACCCAGAAAGGAGTGCAGTGGTGCAATCATGGTTCACTGCAGCCTCACCCTCCCAGGCTGAAGCAATCCTCCCGCCTCAGCCTCCCAAGTAGCTGGGACTGCAGGTTTGTGCGACCACACCAGCTAATCTATTTTGTAGAGCTAAGGCCCCACTATGCTGCTCAGGCTGATCTTGAACTCCTGGGCTCAAATGATCTTCCCACCTTGGCCTCCCACAGCACTGGGATCACAGGCATGGGCCTCCACGCCTAGCCCCTACTGACTTTCAAGGGCTCATGTGATTACCTCGGGCCCACCCTGACACTCCTGGGTAGTCTATTTTAAAGTCAACTGATTTTAAGATTACCTAAGATTACAAAGTCTTAATTCCATCTGCAAAATCCCTTCACAGCAGTACCCAGATTCTTGTTTGATTGCATAACCAGAGAGCAGGAATCTTAGAGCTGTGTTTAGAATTCTGCCTACCACAATGTTATAAAATGACTGTTACGGAGGCTTCATAAACAGCACCATGCGAAGATTCTCTGCATGACCAGAGGCTGTGCTGTCTTGTGGTTGGTCAGGCTGGTGGATCTGACCAACCACAAAGACAATCCAAGACAATTAATGCTGAGTACTCCATCTACTGCCCCAAAGGTTCCTGCTAAGCACTTCCAGGGCCCAATCTCCGTCCTTTGGTCCCACTGGAGCTTCAAGTAACCTATCTACCAGCTATACAAATGCCATAAACTAAGCAAATAACCCAGCAAAAAGGGGGTTTAATCTTCTACAAATCTAATATGATATAGTTAGGTAGCACCTTCTCATTTCTCGATCACAAGGCGATTGTTCTTTCTTGATCATAGGTATGAGGTTCTGGTTTTCTTTCCTAAATACTAGGAACGCACACTCACCATAATGAAGAAGCCCTGGGTACCAAGGGAAGAAAAAAACCTGATTTGTTAGTCGGGTTTGTTACTACTTCACTGCAACTATGCTTTCAAGAGAATGTTGCTTTAAGAACCACCCATTTAATTTCTTAGCCTGAAAACTTTCTGGTAGAGTAATTGCCTGACATAGAACACCTAAAAGGTGAATTGAAATGAAAAGCCTTTTACCGAGTGGCAAACAGAAGTATTAAATGCTTGATTAGAAGTTCTATGTCACTAATAGTGAATGCTCCCCTCTCACGTCCTATCTTCCCAGTTTGCCTTTCTCTTCCCTGGGAACATGCAAATTCCTATTCTACACTGGAAATCCCAAAGTGGCTTTGAAATCCTGTTTTCCTTGCGGAAAACAAGGAAATGTAACTGATTTGTTTGGGCTGTTAAGTGTTTTCTTGCTGACATCACTTCCTTAAATGATTGCTTTATAATGATTCGGAGTTATATCATGTAAAGAATTTGAGCCTGATATTCCTGGGTTCTGCCACTTTCCATTGATGGAAACTTGGGTAAGTCATAGAAACTCTGTGAGACTCAAATTTATCAACTATATTATGGGAATAGCAGCATTCGTTTCTTAGATAGTGAAGAGAATTAAAACACAGAAAATTGTCTGGCACATAATAGATGCTCAAACATTCAATCTCTTCTCCCTATTCTCCTTTCTCCTTGTTTATGTTCTAATTAATCTCTGGCTTGCAAATAGATTATAAATCATCTAAAAGCAAGGACTACACCAGTGTAATTCCATGAGAAGATTCTTTGATTGGCATTCAGGATATTTAAGCCCAGGCATGAAAAGTGACCTTGATTAAGTCAATTGCCCTCTCTGTGTTGCAATTTTCAGTTATGAGAGGTTATTTAACCACCTGGATTGCCCAGCTATAAAATGTCATATTAACACCAATTTTTTTTACCCCTTTAAAGACTCTACTGAGCAAGTGGTAGGCGTTCAGTTAGTGCTTGCTGACTGTTTGCTGGATGAAGGTGTTCAGTAAGATAGGTGTAATTGCAATAGTTACTGGATTGTAACAGGAATAGATCCAAAGCAACCCACTCTTAATTTTAATCAAATATTTCTAAGGGAATTTGAAAATAAAACATAACAAAATTTCCCCTTGGAAATTGGAGATAGTAAATGATGCCTAAGACTCAATTTCCTTCTAAAGATGGTTTGGAGATGGCCCAGTTTCTCCAGATTCTTTTTGCTCCCAGTGATGAATTGTTGATCTATTTCTCATTTGTGGGTTGGATTGATATTCATCATGGAGAATTACACTTGGGAGGACACAATGGTGAATTCCTACAAATTGTGAAATCTTAAAAAATTCTTGTAGACTGTGATCTCACATTAACTTCTGAGATGGGAACTAGGAGGCCTGGTGCATTTTCTTGGGGGTTGTTTTCTATTGAGCTTATATTTACATTGAATTCAATGCTCATATTCTAAGTACACATCTTGATGCATCTAGACAACATATATACCCTTGTAACTACCACCCCAATCAATATATGGAATATTTCCCTTCACTCCAGAAAGTTCCCAGTGCCCCCTCTATAGTCCACCCTCCCCACAAGGCAGCCACTGCTCTGATTTTTATCACATTAGCTTAGCTTTACCTGTTCTGGAACTTTATATACATGGAATATACACTATGCACACTTTCATGTCTAGCTTATTCTGCTCAACATGTTTTGAGAGTTATCCCTGTTGTTGTGTATATCAGGAGTTCATTTATTTTTGTGGTCGACTAGTATTCTATTGTATGAAAATATCACAATTTGTAGGTCCATTCACCTGTTGATGAACATTTTGGTTGTTTCAGTTTTAGAATTTTAAAAATAAAGCTCTTATGAACAGCCTTGCCCTTTGGGGACATATGTTGTGTTTCTCTTTGGTAAATAACCAGAAGGTGGAATTGCTGGGTCATAGGGTAAATGTATGTCCCTATGTATTTTTTTCAATTTTATTCGTAAGAGTGAAAATCACACAACATTTTTCCTCTTCTGGCCCCCATTCCCATTACAGGAAAGTTTCTATTAATCTCTAAGAACAAATAACATGTATTTAGTGCTTACTGTGTACCAAGACTAAGGATAAGTTTTATACATGAATTATCTCATTTAATATTAACAAAACCTATAATTATCACCATTTACAAAGGCTCAAGGAGGTTAATAAGGGAAGCTGCTATTGACCTTGTGTAATAGAAATACAGAAAATAATTCCACAACCTGCATTCTTACCTAGTTTACCCGTATTATTTCCTTTCTTTCACAAAGTCTTTTGTTTTTTATTTTTATTATTTATTTTATTTTATTTTTGAGACAGGGCCTTACTCTGTCACCCAAGCTGGAGTGAAGTAGTACAATTAAAGCTCACTGCAGCCTCCACCTCCCAAGCTCAAACAATCCTCCCACCTGAGCCTCCTGAGTATTTGGAACCATGGCTGCATGCCACCATACCCAGCTAATTTTCAATTTTTTTTGTAGAGACCAGGTCTCCCTATGTTGCCCAGCCTGGTCTTGAACTCCTGAGCTCAAGCAATCTTCCCATCTTGGTCTCCCAAAGTACTAGGATTACAGGCAGGAGCCACTGCACCTGGCCCACGTAAAGTTTTTTCTTCTCATCAAGAAGAACTACTGAGTCTTTGGGGTAAAACAGTGAAGGCCTTCTCAACCAAGTGGAAATGTTTCATCTCTTAGAGCCTCCAAACCAGAAGGCACCAATGTCTACAGGAACCTGACCCACAAAGTGTCATTTATCCACCTACTGTGGTTAGGAAGTGAAAGGGTATAGATATCTCAGCAGGACAGCCAATCTCTCTAACAAGAATAAAATTTGCAATTAAATAATCCTGTGGCTACAAATCAAGAACATCATATCTGTGGGCGAGATTAGTAATTCACATCTTTAGAACGCATCAAAATCACCCAGAGAGCTTGTTAAAATACACATTTTTAACTCAGGTCTGGGATAGACCTTGAGATTTTGCATCTTTAACAAACTCCCAAGTGATGTTGATGCTTCAGGTCCTCAGACCACACTGTGTTTAGCACTGGACCAGATCATCTTCATCACTGAAATAAATCTCTGATGAGAAACTGAGTTTTAGTTAGAGAAAGTGTTGACTGAAGAATGATGAGGTTCATGAATTTGGAAAGCAGAGCTTTATTTCTCATAAAGTGTTGCAGCCTGCAGGGTGGCCCTTCCAACAGGTTGGGGAGTGTAGCCTCTGGACAGAAGATGAAAACAGACACTTTTAAGGTAGGAAGAATAAGACAGGAATTTATGCTGAACGAGGTGGCCAAATATACATATCTAACAGCTATTGGAAGAGCATGAATATTTATGAAAGGAGAAACACACACATGCACAGTTGAGCTTCATGCCTCTCCATGGGACCCATGTTCAAAGAATGGCCATATTAGTATAATCCAAGGGTGGAGTTTTCAGCCCTCTCATGTCAAAAGGTGAAGCAGAGGACACCAAAACTCTCAATATGCATCCTTTGCAAACTGGCAAGAACCACTCAGTCTTATCAGGAAGAAAAGCTGGTCAGTGGTTATGCCAAAGCCACAAAAGGGAAGGGCAGCAATCAGGCGGTTGGCTGAAATCAGCAGTGGAGTGCTTTGAAAGGGATGGTTTCTGTTTAGGCTTTAAAAAGAAAGCCTAATGGTGGTGTAATGAGGGAGAGGGTATAACCAGGCAAGTCCGACCTCTCACCCCATTATGGCTGAGAACTCAGCTTCCAGGGTTTCTCTCACAGTCCCCTTGGCCAAGAGATGATCCATTCAGTCAGTTGGGGAGGGGGGCATTTAGAATTGTATTTGTATTTCTCAAAAGAGACTAAGAAGCTTATCTAACCAATTAACAGTCAGAGCTACAAGGTCATCCTTGAAGTCTTTGCTCTACATCACTGGTACCCAGAATGGGAATTTCAAAGACCAGTTAAGTTGCAAAGTCAGATGAGAATGATCTAGACTTCCCTCCACATTTTGGGATAGACAGATGATTCACGGATAATAGATTGTATAGATAGAGATACAATATGATATAATCTCAGAATAGCATGCCTTTTAAATTGAGCAAAATTTGTTTTGAGAAAAACTCACCGCCTTGCTCTTACCAAAAAAGAGGAAAGTCTTCAATAGGATTCAATATTCTATGAAGCCACATGTTGTTATTCCTCTCTGAAATACTTTTCCAGTGCCATATAGATCCAGCTCTACAAGGACCCTTCATCTGATTTGCAGATTGAGTGTTTAATTTCCTTACCAAAGCAAAAGTTTGGTTATTACTTGATTAATTTAACCTCATTCTTCTTTGTCTCTAGAACAAGTCTAAATGTCTCAGCTGACAAACACCACTTTAGAAACATCCTGATTCTGATTAATGGTTTCCTTAAATGCTTTTTAAGTATTATTAGCATAGATGCTTGTTTGATTCCAAACTTCTGCTCCCCTGAGAGCCCTGACGGTAGGAACCAGAATCCGGGAGGGTGGCAGAACCCTCAGGCAGAGATAGAGATTAGTATGCAGAACCTAATTCATGACTTCTTAAAAGTCAGTTTTCCTTTTTTTTTTTTTCTATTTTTCTATTTTCAGGTTCCCAAAGAGAGCTCAATTATTCAGTGTTACAAAATGATCATTGATTATCTTGAAAATCCAGGCAAGGAAAAAAAAAGGTAATGATACTGACTACTCAGTTGCTTAGATAGCTTTTTATTAAGAGATATAATTGTTTTTTACACCTTATTAAATAACATGAAGAGCAGGAAAGAAACAGCATTATTGGTGATTTTTAATCAGGTTTCTATAAGTTTCAGTCATGAAGTAATTATTCAAACAAATGAAGGAAGACAGCACAATCCGTAACTGCACATAAATATATATTAAAGAAATAATATCTCATTTTAAGATAAAGTACATAGGTGGTATAAATGCAAGTACGGCATTTTTCTTTATGTACTTTACCATTTCATCAAAAACAAATTACAATTAATTCTATTTAATGATTATGTTATATATAAAATAATGTACCATTATATTTCTAATATATTTATCCTTATAACAGATTATTATTGTGATTATTAACAGCATTAACTATAACAATAGCTCATTTCATGAAGCACCTTTTCTGTGCAGTGTTTTGCAGCATTACTGAAGTTTATTCACATCACTTTAGAGTTACTCTTCATTTCTTGCTGAAGAAATTGAAACCAAGAGAGCTTAGCTTGAAGACCTAAGTGTCAATTTCTACTAATTAATAGAAATAATTGGGAATCTAATTAATTAATTACCTGGGAATCCACTGCATGTTTGCCTGACTCCAAAACCCATGCTTTTGGCTTGTCCCACATGTCCACTAGTTACAGGATTCAAGGATAACATGCTTAATATAGTAAAGAGGTGTTTCTCTGTACGTACTACCCCAAGACGGCATTTGCTGATAGAACAGCTTTGCATTCTGTGTTCTTTACCCTCAGTTTTCTGTTTTCTCTTTCATCCATCAATCCTTGGTGGCTGAGGCCTGATGTAATGTATCTGGTTGACCAGTGCTTCTACTTCTGTGTCCTAATTGCTGTTTCTCTAAGTTTATCAGCAGAGAAAAATTGAGTTTTTGCTTTGGCTGAGATAATCTCTTGCTCCCTTAACACTCCACAAAGATAAATTTTGTCCACAATGGCCATATGGCTAATCCAGTTATCCCAGGAGAGGGAAGAGGATGAATTAAATAGAGAAATTCAGTAAAATCCACCCTTCGCAAACATCTTTCTTAACAGTTCCTAATGTTAGTGTCTATTGCTTTACCTGTTTTCTTTCACAGGTAAATTTTCTGAGTCTTTCATTAATACAGATCACTGGTATAGTGGAAAGAAGACGGCCTCTGGAATCAGATAGACCTAGGTTATAATGCTGGCTCTACATTTTAACAGTTGTTACTGCACCATTTACTTCTCTGAAACTCAAATTTCACATTTGTAAACTGCTACAAAGGGATGTTTTGAGGATTTAAGGGGCAATTACATGTAAAAATGTGGTATATCAAAGATGCTCAAATAATTAATATTGGTTCACTTCCCCTCTCGCTCTTCTGTGGGTATAATTTTTTTAAAAGGCACATGCTTAACAGCAACGATATCTCCAAGTGCAGTAGGAGAGAGAGCCCTGGAAGCAAATTAGTATAAAAATGATGCTAAATAAGCCAGGAACTCATCTGCCCCTGATTTTTTTCCTTTATTCAAAAAATATTTATTATCTATTATGCTCCAAGCACAAAAGATGACAATAATCCAGACATTTAAAAAGCCACGAAAAGAGAGTTCCAGAAGGTCGGAGCAGTAGGCGCAAAAGCCCAGAGACAGAAATATCTGATTAATTCAAGGATCAAGAAAGAGATGAACACAGTTGCAATGTGATGGGTCTAGCGAGTGGCATGAGATGGCACTGAAATTAGGCAAAAGCTAGACTATGGGAAGTGTAATACAGTCCCTTCTCCCAGCCCCCTACCTCCGGAACTAATCATTTCCTTAAATTCACATGGCTTTGCTTTTTTTTTTTTTTCACAATTTCATGATATATATCTTGCTTCACTTGTTGTTGTAGAAGATCCTGTCCCTGTTGGCTGTGTGGTACTGTGGTCTTCTTTCTCCCTGTTGTTGCTACAGAGATTGTAACTTAAGTAAATATCATAAAAAAAAGTATGACCAAAGCGTTTTAGGTTTTTCAGATTATTCAATCCTGCATAACTTAACATAACAGTTTAAAGCATAGCTTCTAAAGTAGAAGTAGCCAAGTTTAGATCCTCAACTAAGGCATGTGCTGGCTTTACAACATAAAAAGAAAAAACCCAAGTTCCTTCACTTCTCTAATCCTAGCTCTTCTTGTGTAAATAGAAACAGATGGCTCTAAGAATGAAATTCTGCACCAGTGTACTTCTCACAGTACTTGATGCCCAAGAGTCTAATGCAAGACAGTTACTGATATTATTAATATGTGTTATCACTTTTCTTTTCAAAATAAACATCTCACTTGACTATTGCTCTCAAAACCAGAAGAGATAGAAATAGTATTTATTTTTAAGATAAGTTTGTAATGGCCAACATGTTTACCTATGGCTTCTCCCAATTAAGTAAAATCATGAGTTAAATTTAAGCAGTAATGAGTTTCTCTTTTGTCAGAAAATCTCATGGTAACAAGCATGGTTCTAAAAAGTTGTGCAGTTATGTTTCAGCAGCACAAACTCAGGCTGGAACAGCTGTCATGCATCCATACACTAATTCATTTATTTACACATTCATTAAGTATGTGTATTATGTGCTAGAACCTATATTAGGTATAATATGGAGAAGGATAAAATACTAACAGCTGAGCAGGTTTAAGAGACGGTAAATAAACACTTCCATTAAATCGAGTACGATAAAAACAAGTACAGAATGCCAAGAGAAGCATCTTAGAAGTGAGGATGGAGGTCACAGTGTTGTATACCACACTAGGCCTTGTGAAAGCTTCCTGGAGGAAGTCACACAGGGACCAAATTGAAAGAGTAATTCAAAATGTGTCAGAAACACCAAAAGCAATGGCAACAAAGGCCAAAATTGACAAATGAGATCTAATTAAACTAAAGAGCTTCTGCACAGCAAAAGAAACTACCATCAGAGTGAACAGGCAACCTACAGAATGGGAGAAAATTTTTGCAATCTACTCATCTGACAAAGGGCTAATATCCAGAATCTACAATGAACTCAAACAAATTTACAAGAAAAAAACAAACAACCCCATCAAAAAGTGGGCAAAGGATATGAATAGACATTTCTCAAAAGAAGACATTTATGCAGCCAAAAGACACATGAAAAAATGCTCATCATCACTGGCCATCAGAGAAATGCAAATCAAAGCCACAATGAGATATCATCTCACACCAGTTAGAATGGCGATTGTTAAAAAGTCAGGAAACAACAGGTGCTGGAGAGGATGTGGAGAAATAGGAACACTTTTAGACTGTTGGTGGGGCTGTAAACTAGTTCAACCATTGTGGAAGTCAGTGTGGCAATTCCTCAGGGATCTAGAACTAGAAATACCATTTGACCCAGCAATCCCATTACTGGGTATATACCCAAAGGATTATAAAACATGCTGCTATAAAGACACATGCACATGTATGTTTATTGTGGCACTATACACAATAGCAAAGACTTGGAACCAACCCAGATGTCCAAGAATGATAGACTGGATTAAGAAAATGTGGCACATATACACCATGGAATACTATGTAGCCATAAAAAATGATGAGTTCATGTCCTTTGTAGGGACATGGATGAAGCTGGAAACCATCATTCTCAGCAAACTATCTCAAGGACAAAAAAAAACAAACACCGCATGTTCTCACTCATAGGTGGGAATTGAACAATGAGAACACATGGACACAGGAACGGGAACATTACACACCGGGGCTGGGGTAGCGGGAGAGGGGAGGGATAGCATTAGGAGATATACCTAATGTTAAATGAAGAGTTAATGGGTGCAGCACACCAACATGGCACATGTATACATATGTAACAAACCTGCACGTTGTGCACATGTACCCTAAAACTTAAAGTATAATAAAAAAAGGTGTCAGATAATAAAAGGAGAAAGTGTATTTTAGGCAGACCTGGCTAGAGACCTAGTTTGTGGATGAGCAGTAATCAAAGAAGCATTGTGTCATGGAGTTGTATTCAGAAGGCTAGTCCTGAGTGTAGGACTCAGAGGGAGCATGGGAGGAGCAGGTTTCAACTAAGAGATCAGAATTCCCATGGAGGCATGGTCTTCTGGACTCAAAATAGGGTCCAGATACTGGAGAGTTTCATGTACTGCCCATGTGAAGACCAAGCAATCAGAAAACTTGTGAAGAATCCAGCAAGGGCAATCATCCCAGCTCCTGCATGTTTAATCTTACCTTTTTCATTTTGGAGGTTCCCAAATTTAAAGGCTGCCTCCTTTCTACTAGGTTGGTTAAAAACCGCGATGACTTTTACACCAACTTAAAATTTAGTCCAAATACGAAGCAGAACTGAAATACTGGGAAGCCAATTCTCTGTGCTTATTTCTTTGTTTCTTGCTAAGCTTCCAGTGAGTTTAATGTTTAAGGGACACTCTGAAGGCTCAGTGTGGACCACTCATCCTCTCTTCTCAGGCATAACCCAAAACACTGTGCCACCTGATAAAGTCTCTAGCGGAATAACAATATAAGCAAAGATGTCTATGCCTTCACGGCATATGGACTCAGCATGCTTATGCCTCCACACCAAAGAGGCGACTACTGTTCTATTCTTTCGGAGTCTCTATTCTCACTGGAAGAGATCCTGCAATACTCCTGCTGCTCAATTTCCAGAAAAAATTGTATATCTTGTCACCTGTCTTGTCCCTTGGCAAATCTGAAAGACAATATCAGAAGCACCTCAAATTGCACAGTTGCCCTCTAGAGCTTTAAAATTAAAGGAGCCAAGACAAGCCCAAATTTCTCTTCCCTGCCAAAAATGCCACAGAGACTTTATGTAAGGCTGAAGACTTGTAGAAGGCTGGTCTCTTAGCCATAGACCTGAGCATATGGCTTATTAATATTAAAGAGAAAATTAACTGAAAGTAGTATTGAAAAGATAATTAGCTTTATTTTTTAATTTATACTCCCATCTAGTTAGTAAATATAATGTGCCCTAGCCTATAGAACATACACACAACAGTTAATACTCAGGCAGTATTTTTAGGAAACTCTTCAAACATAAGAACAATCTAATTTGTTTCTAATGACAATAAAAAGAAGCCCTAAGCCATATCCTTAATTCATATGACTGCCACCCATTAATGTATCTAATTCCATTTTCCCAGAAAACAGGTTAGTTTTAGAAGAGAAAATATGTTTATGCAAAATAAGTTGATGTTTCATTCTCCTGGGCATTTTTGGGGGTTTTTTTGTCTTTTGTTTTTTGAGACAGGGTCTCACTCTGTCACCCAGGCTGTAGTACAGTGACTCCATTGTAGCTCACTGTGGCCTCAAATTCCTGGGCTCAAGTGATCCTCCTGCCTTAGCTTCCCAAGTATCTGAGACTACGGGCGTGAGCCACCATGCCTGGCTAATATTTTTTTCTTTTTATTTTTAGTAAAGACAGGGTCTTATTATGTTGCCCAGGCTGGTCTTGAACTCCTGGCCTCAAGCAGTCCTCCCACCTTGGCCTCCCAGAGTGCTGTGATTAGAGGCATGAACCACTATGCCTGGCATCTCCTAGACATTTCTGATTATTTCTGATTTTCTTCATTGCTTATATTAACCACCCAAACTACATCATGGGATAATTGAGGTAGTCAGATAATGATCCCCCCAAAGATGTCTATATCCTAATATCTGGTACCTATGAATATAAAAAGACTTTGTAGATGTGATTAAGTTATGAACCTTGAGGTGAGAGGATTAGCCTGGGTTATCTAGGTGGGATCCATATAATCACAGGGTCCTTACAGAAGGGAGACAAGGGTGTCACAGTCCTAGAAGGTAATGTGACAAAGAAAGCAGAAGTTGGAGTGATTTGGGGCCATGAGCCAAGGAATATGGGCAGCCTCTAGAAGCTGGGAGAGGCAAGGAATAGATTCTCCCCTAGGGCCTCCAGATGGAGCACGGCCCTGCCAACACCTTAATTTTAGTCCCATTAGACTCATTTTGGACTTCTAACCTCCAGATCTGCAAGATAATAAATTCGTATTGTTTTGAGCTAATAAGTTCATAGTAATTTGTTACAGCAGCAATGGAGAACTTTTAAAGCCAGTAATAATCCCTTCCATTTGCCTATCATTTGGTACCACTTTCACAGACATTATGCAATTTGGTTCTTGTAATCTTCCTCTGAGTTGGGCAAAACTTTCATGATTCCCAATTTTCAGATAAGAAAACTGAGTTTTACAGAGTTGAATAGATGTGTTTAAAGGAAAACAACGAGGTAAGACTGTAAAGCGAATTTGATTTCTTGTTCAACCATCTCTCCACTACAGCACGCTGTCTGTGATAACAGGTTCTATCTTCATCACTTCTTGTACCAATACTCCCTTTTATTGCCTTATAACTCTCTCAAGCTATGAAATGGTAGTAGGAAGGGCTATCTTGGTCCTACTTTTCTGGAAATTCTCTTCTGTATACCCACCTTATAATTCATAGGCTTTAAGGATATGCCTTCATAACCCTTATAAATGAAATGTTTGTGTCCCCCCAAAATTTATATGTTGGTGCTCTTATCCCCAATGTGATGTTATTAGCAGCTTTTAGGAGGTGATTAGGTTTAGATGGGGTCACAAGGGTGGAGCCCCCATCATGGGATTAGTGCCCTCATAAAAAGAGGAGGAGACACCAGAGCTTCCTCTCTCCACCATGTGAGGATACAGCAAGAGAAAAGCCACCTGCAAACCAGGAAGGGAGCTCTCAGTAGAACCGACCATGCTTGCACCCTGATCTCAGACGTCCTAGCCTCCAGAACCATGAGAAATAAATGCCTGTTGTTTCAGCCACCCAGTCTGTGGTATTTTATTATGGCAGCCCAAGCTGACTAAGATAATCTTATTTCTCTATAATAAAATTCTAATTTTTACAGTGTGTACCTAATAATGCATCATTCCATTGATTATTTTAGCTGCCTGTTTTAGGACCTCCTTGATTCTACTGATTATATCTTGCAGTTAACAAAGCAGAATTATATTCAAGTTACAGAAGGACCATGGTTAAATGTCACTTTCCTAAATCTGGATTATTTTATCCAATCCCATAATGTATTCAGGGCTTATGCACAGCTTTCAAAATATAAACCCCATGCACGATCTATTTTGTACACTGCTGGTAATAATAGTAGGCAAAAATATTATGTCTTGAGATTTTCTTAAGTAAGTCCTTACAGATTCCTTCTCCAACTTGAATCAGGTATTTGATTTTCATTCACAACCATCACCATACACCCCCAACACTGTATTTCTGATGGGTTCCCATGGTACAGCCTCATGCTTGCTCAGAAGAAATCCTTCAAGGCTCTCTTCTCATTAGTCCATGCTTTGCTTTTCTGTAGTCAATAATCCTTTTGCAATTTCAGCCTTCTTTTAGTTGGAGACAATATTCCCAAGAGATATAAGGGTGGAGGGACCCTGCTCTTCACTGTATCACTTCATCTTAAGTGGACAAAGGCCAATTGATTGACCACCACACAACTAACTCTAGAGCATCACTTTAAATGACAGTTTCCAGATAGAACAAACACAAGATTGGGTGTTTTATGTACTTCATTTCCTCTAATCTGCACAACCACTTGGTGAGGCAGCTATTTCGTGACTCCTGGATTGATTGATCAATCGATTGATTTTACTATTTTCACTACTTTAAGGCAAACTGCTTTTTGAGAACATCAGATTCTTAGCTGCCTTCATATATCCATGGCTTACCCTCCAGCATGAGCCACTTTTGCAAGCTTTAAGTCTTACCTGCTTCAATCTTTGTAGGTAAGAATTGGAGGAATGGCAGCTTTGCCTGGCGATTAGATCTTTACAACAGAATGGATTTGATTTTTGACATCAATGAACAAACCCATTTGTCTGCTCCTTCATTTCAGTACTAGAAATCCATCATAGTTTATCTGCCAGCTGTTGGTTCACCCCAGTCATGGTTTCTTATTGAAAAATGCTTTCTAACCTCCACCAAAGTCGTCATTATATTTGTAGTTTTCAGGTATCTGAAGAGCTTGCATTTTTAATGAATTCCTAATGTACTCACTCAAGCAAACAAGGAAATTATAACCATGGAACATTACATTTCAGACATTAATCATAATTACTTAATAATATCAAACAGGGAGATTGTTACAAACTTAGACTTCTTATTTAACTTTAGAATCAGAATAACTGTCACATTTGCACATGTTCTAAATGATACCACATATTTCCAAATGCCTACGTTAAACAGCTTAGTCATAAAGAAATATTTTGTCAGCTAATTTAATTTAATTGCATGGCATAATTATTTCACCTATTTCTCTAAAAAGAGATTGTAATAAGAGAACTGCAAGGAGGTTATAAAATCTCACTTTATTTCTCGATTACCAGGAAAGGTCTCTGCTGAAAGTTACCAGACAATTACAGATTCGGCGGGTTTTCATAGTTCTTCAATGTATTTGTTATATACCATTAGTCACCAGGTAAAGCCGTTCACTAATAGCAATGCCCTTCAACAATAGCCCCAGAGAATTTAACACTGATTGATGGCAGGTCACCTGGAATTGGTTGGCAGAATTTCCAATTTTCTGTTGGGAAATTGCTTATTTCTCCAAGTCTATTCCCATTTTTACAAGTGGACAGAAAGCTGAGATTATACATTATTATGTGTCTAAATATAAAATTGTGATGGATGGTGTCACACATTTAAAGAGAGTTAAGCATTTAATTTAAGATTTAAAAAGTTTCAAGAAGTTTAAAATGTATTTTTGGTCTTTCTTGGGAATTCACAAACTGATCCGTATTGGGAGAAATACTGAAAGATTGCCTAAGGAATACCATTTAGATGGGGTATTATATTCATAAAAATTATCCTTCTAGATTTTCAAAGCAGTAGGACCAGAATTTTCTTGTAAATATATTTGAAGAGTTCAGACTTATCCAGGAACTGAGGAGACAAACAGGTTGTTTTTCATAAGTAAAGAAACTAATGCCAAATTTGGTAGAGAGAAGACAAAAGTAAGCAAGCAAAACTCAAAAGCCACATTGAAATCAGAAGACAAAGTTTGCTACTTACATTAAATTTTTATTATTTGAGGCCATGTGCGGTGGCTCACACCTGTAATCCCAGCACTTTGGGAGGCCCTAGGCAGGCAGATCACCTGAGGTCAGGAGTTCGAGACCAGCCTAGACCAGCATGGCGAAACCCCATCTCTACTAAAAATACAAAAAAAATTAGCCGGGCATGGTGGTGCGCCTGTAATCCCAGCTACTTGGGAGGCTGAGGCAAAAGAATCACTTGAACCCAGGAGGCAGAGGTTGCAGTGAGCCAAGATTATGCCACTGCACTCCAGCCTGGGCAACAGAGCAGGACTCTGTCTCAAAAAATATATATATTATTTATTTGAAAACATATATTAGGGGTAAATTTTAAAACTGTGTGTTTAGGATGCTAAAATATTGCATATTACAGTAATATTATTTCGCAAGTACTTTTGCACATACAATCTCTATGAAATTCTTGAATTAAGTATTAAATAACTGGCTGCCTATATAAAGATATTAGATGTGACAGTACTTTGAAATGTAGTCAATATGGGTCACTCTGGAGAAACAAACAAGCAAAACCCACAAAATTCTTAAACCTCAACACAACTGCTTAATTTATCTGGGGACTAAAAATGTCTTTATCATTTTATTTTTTATATGAAAAATAATTACCATTAACATCTTTATTTCTTTTTCATACACACACACAGAAATATATATGCATACAAAGAGAGCAACAGAGAAACAATAATATTGAACAGTAAAAAGCCTGTTTTCTAAATTGTACTTTTTTTTTTTTTTTACTATGAACGTGTTGCCATGTTAAAAAACTATATATACTTATTTCTAAAAATGCCATTTTAAAGGCCGTATAGAATTTTATTATATGCTTACCTAAAATATTTGGCCAATAACCTACTGATGGACATCTAGTTTGTTTTGTTTTTGTAACTTATTCATTCAACAAATATTTATGAAATATTTTCTCACTGTGCAATATCTACCTTTTCCCAAACTGGGAATACTTTTCCCTTTTCTCATGGAGCTTCTGTTCTGGGGACTGAGTGATAGAGATAGACGAGAAGAACAATGCACGCCATTAAATATGGCAGTCAGTGGTTAAGTCCTATAATGAAACTATAATAATCGTACTAAAGCAGAGAAAGAAGACAGAGTGACAGGAAGTGATAGATATCTCTATGATAAGATGACATTCAAACAGGGATCTGAATGAGGTTATATGGCATGGGCCATCCGGAACTCTGAGTGACAAGCCTTCCAGACTCAGTAATATAAAAGACAGAAGAGGAAGCATGCTTGGCACGTGAATTAATAAAAATGAGAAAAAAGCTTAAAAAAATCTGTGTGGTAAAATCTTTACTTGTATCCTAATATCTTTGGAAAGCATTTTCAGGAATATATGTGTGAGGTCCAAGATCTGCACAATTTTTTTCTCATAATTTTTGAATAAAATCTGTTGATTTTTTAAAACCTTCAATGTTTTACCTCATTACTTTAGTGAAATATTCAGACTCTCTGCAAACAAGTGCACTTTCAAGAATCTGCTATGTATATATATTAATACTTCTGTTGTTTGCATGTACAATCAGGCCTATCATTTGACATTATCCAACAGTGGTTGCTGATAAATGTCAGCATGCCGCGATTTGCATGTTACTTTGCATAGGTTCCTTTCCAGACTCTGAGCTCAGGGAGGATAAGATCCTGCCTGTACCATGGTACATGATAACACCTCGCATTCCAGAGATTCTAAAATTGTGTGACAGATATTTTATCACATTTCCTTTTTTATATTAAATTTACTCCTTAAACAGTAAGAACAGTGACCACGTATTGTTTTCTCAGCATTTAGCATAAATGCCTAGAATGCAACAGATGCCCAGTATGTACCTTAGATGGATGAATAAATGAAAAACATCTTAACCAATATTATAATTGAGATAAGGACCAACTCATAGCCAAAGAAAAATAATAAGTTAATTTTAAATGGTCAGTAAATTGTCAAAATTTACCAACAATCTTGAGCCCCAGGAGTTTCTCTTTATGATTTCTAGTTGCTCAGTGGTCACTCAAAGACTGCATATTGTCTTAAAATCTCGTCTTAAACATCATTTTAATCCTATGTGCTGATCCCACAGTGTTAAGGATGCCTTATAAAACAAGAAACATAAAATACCTTATGTCAGTTACAAACCATTTGTGTACATATTTATTGAACACCTACTACAGGCCAAGCATTTAATTAGGAACTAGCAATGCTGTGTTCACAGGGTCCATGTGCAGAGGAGAGAGACATATTAGCGCATAGTTCCAGGAATGTGATATTTCTCCCTTTAATTTTCAAGAGATGTAGCTTTGTTGGTTTTGTTTGTTTGCATTGAGGATAAGGAATAAAAGAGGAAATTTAAATTTATTCTATCACATGAAAAATAAACTGGCCTAGCTGAGCCAAAGTAAGGCCTCTAAGGCCCTGCCTGGTATAGCCCCTGACTACCTTTTCCAATTCCCCGGACTTTCCTCACCCTCATTCACTGACTTATTAAATCTCAGATAAGCCAAGCTCTTTCAAAACTCAGGATCTTGGTGTTTGACTACTTTCTACGTTCATGCTCTGAACAGCCTGCCCCTGGCTGTTCAACACACCTGATTCCTGGTTCTTAAGGCCCCACTATAAAACATTGCTTATTAAAGATGCATTCCTTTATAGATTATAGATAACTCACAGCAGACTAGTTTCCAAATATGACCTACAGCATGTAACTTGAACAACATCCCATAGAAAGGACCATGTCCTGCAGAATTTCCTTTTTTTTTTTTTTTTTTTTTTGAGACGGAGTCTCGCTCTGTCGCCCAGGCTGAAGTGGAGTGGCGTGATCTCGGCTCACTGTAAGCTCCGCCTCCCGGGTTCATGCCATTCTCCTGCCTCAGCCTCTCGAGTAGCTGGGACTACAGGCACCTGCCACCACGCCCGGCTAATTTT
Organism: Homo sapiens; assembly: GCF_000001405.40. Lineage (NCBI taxonomy): Eukaryota > Metazoa > Chordata > Mammalia > Primates > Hominidae > Homo > Homo sapiens. Next base: position 59,029,316 of record NC_000016.10, on the reverse strand, counting down.
TTGTATTTTTAATAGAGATGGAGTTTCACCGTGTTAGCCAGGATGGTCTCCAACTCTTGTTGCCAGGCTGGAGTGCAATGGCACGATCTTGGCTCACCACAACCTCTGCCTCCTGGGTTCAAGCAGTTCTCCTGCCTTAGCCTCCCAAGTAGCTGAGATTACAGGCATGCGCCACCACGCCTGGCTAAGTTTGTATTTTTAGTAGAGACAAGGTTTTACCATGTTGGTCAGGCTGGTCTCAAACTCCCAACCTCAGGTGATCCACCCGCCTCGGCCTCCCAAAGTGCTGGGATTACAGGCATGAGCCACTGCGCCCGGCTCAGAATTTCTTAATACCTGACCTAAAGTTACTGCATGTTTGAGCACATACTTGATGTACTGAAATGAGCAACATGTAATTTGTGATGAAATGCTTGTAACCTTTTATGCAAAGCATAACATAGGATAATATGTGAAACCACTTCCTTCTTTACAAAGCATCACAATCCATCATCATTCTAATGAGGGCAGCTATGCACCAAGCCCTGCTGGCAACAGGTTTACCATTCATTATGTATCTCTTCTTTGGTGTGCTACCACTTACTGACTCCAAACTCCTCCATATCCTATCTAGGGGTCTAACTCTGGTAAGAAGTAGAAGTTTCCTTTTCCTTTAGCAAGTATGGCCAAGTCTCTGGTACTTTGACTAATTTCAATATGATTTTATTTTCTTCAATATATTCATTATTCTTTGAAATTGTATTTCTTTGTCTCTTTCCATTAACATGTCATCTCTGTGATGCAGAAATTTTGTCATAAGTGCTCTTTATCATATCTCTTCCCCACCTCATCTCCTGTGCATAAAACCTTACCAGACTCCAAGCTGACACTTAACAAATGTTTGAATCGAAGAACAAAGAAGTGAATGAATGAATGAATGAACAAATGAACTATGTATCAGTGGTGCCTATGGATTTAATGTGTCAGATGTCTTTCTACTCTTGTTTGTTTTATCTGCTTTAGCTGTACTGGAGTTACCCTTGTAAACACAAGCAGAATGTAGAAACCTACCTTCAGTCAATGGTCTATATTTCTAGAATAAATACAAATTACATGAATGTTAAGTTTGTGTCTCATGTTCCTCATATGCAGACTCAATGAAGCACGTGCTATTAATACCATTGCTGCAGCTCCTTACATACCATGAACTGTTTCCTGTGTCTCTCTGCCTTAGGATGTTTTTAGAATAAGGTAATATGATAGTGCCTAAGAATTAATTTCCCAGAAGCAACCCCCAATCATTGAGGTGTAGGAGTTGGTATCATTCCCAGCTCCCTCATCCTTCGGTGGAACACTGAAGCATGTTCCATGAAGTCTCCAGAGGTACCTGAACCTTTATTGCCCATAGCACAAACCCACTAATTAACTTTATTTGATTTTCTTTCTTTCCCTGTCTCACTTCCTCACTCACACACGGAATAGAAAACCTGGAATCATTTCTCACACAAAATATTTGCACCTGAATTCTTGTCCCAGGGTCTCCTCTTGGAGTAATACAAATTAAGACATTGGGAAATAATAACAGTATCTATCAGATAAAACATTGAAAAGATTCATGGCATTAATACAAGTAAAAGCACTTAAAAGAGGGCTCAGGATATAGTCTCTGGTCCACAAATGTTAGCTATGATTATTGTTAGCTAAGTCTATTAGTGCTAGATCCAGTATTATTTATCTCCTCTGACCTACTGCCCCTGGATTTTGCCAATCCTGGTTCTCTATTTAGGTTCACACTTTTCCGCTTGATATTTGTCTCCATCTCCACTCAATCAATGACACGCTTTGAAATTTCTAGACTGAGTTCCCCACCTCCTGTTGAACTCACTTTTGGTATTTGTCTTTCAACTTGTCCTTCACTGGAATGAACCAACCTGGGCCATTTCTAACAGCTTCAGAGGTAGGAAAGTGAAATTGGACAAATCTAACTAAAAAGACTTGTGTTATTGCTGAAACATGGTTGGAAAGACATGGATTTTCCAGTTTCACCTCTTTTCCTTCAGAGATGTATATTACAAAAGCAATTCCTAGGTGAGCATTTAAAGCCAATGATAGTAGGATCCATCTGAGCATGTACCCATGTTACTGGAAAGTTCATTCTCCTTTTTTAACAGTATCAGCCCTCTGAATTTCTTAAGTTAATTTTCAACTAAGATTAATTCTAGAACAATTCCAGAATGTCAGATTTGACAAAGGAGCTGTGTCAATTCTCTTAATGTTTTATGAGCAATGGCTTTGCTATATAAAAGCCCTCAGAATATAGTTGGATAACCACCGCCTTGATATTCATTGTTATCCTTTCTCAAAACCACCATATTTGAGTATGCAATAAACAAATCTTGATGGATTGGTATTAAAATTATATAACAATAACTTCTCTTTCTCATGTGAATATCCCTAAAAAAAAAAAAAAAAGATGATCCCTATGCAGACTACCTGCCCAAAGACTGTAACTACAGTTATAGATGTTAAAGCACCTTCAGGATGGCTCAGTCTGATATAATCAGTAATGTGATCATGAGGATGATTTCATTTTCTTTTCAGTTTTTTTAATTGTGGTAAAATACATCTAACATAAAAGTTACCATCTTAACCATTTTAAGTGTACAGCTCAGTAGCATTAAGTACATTCACCTTGTACAGTATCCAGAACTCTTTTCATCTCACAAAACTGAGACTCTATACCAATTGAACAATCTCCCATTTCCCTCTCCCCTGAGTTCCTGCCAAACACCCTTCTAATTTCTGTCTATATGAATTTGACTGCTCCCAGTAACTCATGTAAGTGGAATAATATAGCATTTGTCTGTTTTGATTGGCCTATTTCACTTAGCATAATGTCTTCAAGTTTCATCCATGTAGAATATGTCAGAATTTCCTTCCTTTTTAAGGGTGGTGATATTCCATTATATGTACCTATCACATTTTGTTTACCCATTCATCATTTGATGGACACTTGGGTTGCTTCCACCTTTGGCTATTGTAAGTAATGCTGCTGTGAAAATGGGTAGACAAGTATCCCTTTCAGGCCCTGCTTTCATTTATTTTGTGTAGATACCCAGGGGTGGAATTGCTGGAACATAGAGTAATGCCATGTTTAATTTTTTGAGGAAGCATCATAGTGTTTTCCATAACAGCTGCCCCATTTTGCATACCCACCATCAGTGCACAAGGGTCCCGACTTCTTCATGAAGATGGTCCCATTTTTTACATTATTTCTGAATGTCACAGCATCTTGGACTCTATTTTCTTTTAAACTTCCTTACTACTTGTAAAGATCCTGTTTACGTACTCTTAGTTACTATTGAAAAAATTTTTAAAACTAATATTTACTGAGTACCTACTTTTGATCCTGATTTTTTTTTAATATGAGTAAGTTCTAGCCCCTCTCCTTTAGATCTCCCTAGTACACATAAAGATACTTGTAAATTACTATGTGATATAAAATTGTCATCATATACATATGTAAAAACACTATAAAAACATGTGCAAAGAGATTACCTTTACTGGAAAAATGTCCGTTGAAGTTTTGCAGAAAAGATATCATTATGTTTGAATCTAGGCTGATGAGCAGTTTCAAGTTGGAAAGATAGAGCATGGGGAAAGTGCATAACAAACTGGCAACAGCATATTATATACTCAGGCAAATACAGCTTGAGAGACTGGGACCAGGTCAGTCCCAAAGGGCATTAAAACTCATGCAAAATTCTTCTTTATGTTTGTATCAATGATACGGGTAATTAAAATTTTATTTATGAAAGTATAAAACAGAATGGAGATAGAATCTACCTACCAGAGATCAGTTGCCTTTTGTAAAACAAGCTCAAGCCAGACCCAGACATACAAAGCTTGACATTGTCATCAGACCACTGCAATTCAGTCAGTCATCTGGGACTGGGACAGGGAAAGAAGGTTAACGTCCCACTGTCCGTGTGATATAGAATGTTTAAAAAACCTTATAAATCATGCTTTCACTAATTTGGTCATGTCATAGAACCATTGCTACCCTTCATTAAAGGCCTCTCAGCATGGGGTACCATCATAGACACTGCTGAAAGAGCATCCCCATCATCCTTGTATGATTAAAATCAAACTCACAGAAAACTGATGCAGCCAGATCCCAAAGACATCTGAACACAAAGTTCCATCAAATTATAAACTCACATAATGATATGTGTCTCATATGTATATGTGTGTTACACATACATGCCTTAAGAAAGAATGCATACTGTAGAATAGAGGATAGGCACGTGTCATTGGCAGAACAGAGTGGATCAGTGGACCTTCAGGGAAAAGCCATTACTTCTTGCATTTATCAGGAAAGTTCACTCAAGGATGTTTTGAAAAAGTTCAATTTTGAATGATAATCATCTCCTTTCTACACTTTGCACATAAAGAGCTAACCATTAAGGTAGTAAATCATAGACCAAAGTTAGTTAGCATAACCTAGATAGCAGAAAAAGGCATTTTTCACAAGTCAGAAGTAAGAAATTTACTACCAAAATAATGTTATCTGGCATCTGATCATTTTCAATCATAGAAAGAATGACACATAAACATTCCCATAATATTTGGGTGCATGTGAGCTAATCTTATTTTCTCTGTACCCAGAGCTAACACTTGCATAATTATTTGATATATATAATTTTTTTATCAAAAGCATTGGTGCACATCAGTGAGAACTTTCAACCACCTTGAAAATGACTTTTAGAATATTTCATTAGCAGACTGTCTTTCAGAGCCTGGGTTGACATTCATGTTTCTTCATACCAGTCTTTCATCCATAAAACCCTTTGTTCTGCTGAACAGTTTTCAGACAATGTAAGCAATCAAAAAAAAGCATCTATTCCAGCATCTGATCAGTCTTATTCAAATTTCATCTATTAATACTCATTTGAGAGTTTTCTAAGAATTTTATTTCCTTTCTTTCAGTATCATCATATTATTTCCTCAAAAAAACTCTCCAAATTTAATGAAATGGAAGCTTGACATTTCATAGGAAATAGGCACAGTTCATGGCTAAATGTTATCCATTTTTATCACTTGCAATGAAGTATATGGGAAAATAACTGTTATGTTCAGTCTGAAGATTTATTTTTAATTACAGAAGATTAAAATTCTAGCACTCAAAATAGTAGGAAAATGACATTCAGTTACTTAAATAGTTTTTTATACACAACAAAAAAAATAATATGTTCAAAACTAAATAATCCAAATAGCCAAATCGATTATTTTCAGTATTTTAGTAAAAATAAAATGGTAAATGAGTATTTGAGGAGCAACCTATTTATAACATATTCTATAAGCAGGACACAGTTTAGAATCACAAAGTCTTAGGAATATGTACAACATATAATTCCGCTGTGTCTAATCTCCACAACAGATCCACCTTGGCAACTTCAACCTCTCCAATATTTATGTTAAAATATAAATCAGTTTAGCTAATGTATTTTGTAAGCTTAAAAATGAAGCTGTCGCTAAACAAATGAAACTTCAATGTATGTGAAAGTACATACTTTGTGAGGTATATACATTTCAGAAGCAGACAATTCTGCTTTTGCTGCACAATTATGCTTACTAAACCTACTACACTAATTTATTTATTATTTATTTATTTGAGACAGAGTCTCACTCTGTCCCCCAGGCTGGAGTGCAGTGGCACAATCTCAGCTCACTGCAACCTCCGCCTCCCAGGTTCAAGCGATCCTCGTGCCTCAGCCTCCCAAGAATCTGGGATTACAGGCGCACACTACCACGCCCAGCTAATTTTTGTATTTTTAAGTAGAGACGGGGTTTCACCGTGTTGGCCAGGCTGGTCTCGAACTTCTGGCCTCAGGTGATCCACCTGCCTCAGCCTCCAAAAGTGCTGGGATTACAGGCATGAGCCATCACACCTGGCTCTACTACACTAATTTAAACAACCATTTGGAGAATTTGGTCTTAAGGGTTAAACACAAAGCATTAAAATCAAAGAAGCACTAAGCTCAACTTGATTTACCTTCTTTTATATATGTATATTTCTGCCTATTGTAGGAAGGACCCCAGCAACCAGACTGAAATTTTCCAGATTCCTTTTCCTAAGAGAGATATTAATTTCACCTTTTGTTTTAGAATTAGAATTTCTTAGTTTGATTATGTTTTAATATTCTGTTGTTTTGGCTGATGTGCTATTATGGTACATCCTGATATTTATGTTTTATGAATAAAATAAGAAATGGAATTTGGTTTTAAATAATGTAACTTTGAAGACAGAAATGGGAATTGTCAAAAATCAAATGATTGGAAGAGTTAGGATTGTTTTCATACTTTTCTTTCAAAAATTATTACTGAGAATTTCTAAATATGTCAAAGTATTTCTTAAACAAGAGAACCATATTTATGTCACAGAGTAGCTAAAAGCAACTTTCTACCCTCTTACAGTCAGTTAGACAGGGAATATTTCTCAGTCTTAGAACTCAGGCACTATAATGCCAGGCTGGAAATGGAACTAGTTAAGACAGGAGGGAAACTCCTACAAAGTCTTCTAAAGATCCTTCATGGAGAGAAATGGCTTAACAATTAGACTTAAATTCACATAAGAGATGTTCCAATATTTGTGCAAAGCTGATATGACTTGTCACACAAGAATCAAACTCTCCCCTGAAATAAGGGGTTAAAACTTATTTAAGGAAAACTATTTCTTGAGGAGAAAGTAGATGATAAAAGCAAGGTATGTGGTATATAGTAAAGAGGGATGGGTCTATACTTCACAACTAAATAGCTTATTTTGCTATCCTAAATATAGAAAAATTGCATTAATGAGTTACACTATGCCTTTGCGATGTGGTGGCACACGCCTGTAATCTCAGCTACTCAGGAGGCTGAGGCAGGAGAATCGCTTGAACATGGGAGGCAGAGGTTGCAGTGAGCCAAGATCGCACCATTGCACTCCAGCTTGGGCAACAGACAGAGAGAGACTCCGTCTCAAAAAAAAAATTACTTTCCTTTAAATATAATATACTGTGTCAACTGTTTAAATAATTTGTTTTGCTTCACATAAAAATTAAAATTTTTAAATTTTAAAAGTGGTATATCTTCTGTCTTGTAGGGGAGGTAGACACATAAAACAAGTCACAATACAGTGTGTGCAGAACTTACACGCGTATACGAGGTTCAATGAACACAGAGAAAGGAAGACACATTCTATTACAGATTAGTCCTAATATATGTCTGTTTATATCAAACCAGCCTTATCATTCTCACAGTTCTGGAAAATTAAAAATTACAGGGAAATCTTGGGAAACAGACACCGTTTTGAGTCCGTGATTTTGTATGACTCACCATATAGTCATAAATAGGAATCTACCATCTTAACTCGTGCCTGCCACCCATGACAGCAAATTTACTTCCAGTGACTCCCCAAACTCCCTCCCTCAACAGTAGCTCTTCCTCCTCACTCCTGGTTCATCCTTAATTTACTCTCTGTAATCGACCCCCTGCCCCACTGCTGCCCTGAAAGCTCTATTCAACTAGAGTCCCCAGTGACCTTTTGGGATGAATTCTAGTAACAATATCCCTCAGTCTATGCTCCGTGTATTTTGTTTGCCCCCTTCAGATCCACGCCCATCTCTCTTCCAACCTGCTCTGCACCCAGAGGCTGCTGTACATGGACTACAGTAACTGATTCCCTTGCTTCCAATTGGACTTGGCCAATGGAGAGCACAGACCAGAGAAGTGAGGGGAGGAGTCAACAGAGGGTCAGGGGAATTACCCTCCAGCCCCTCCCTGCTGGGGAGGTCCACAACTCCTTCAGCAACAGTCTCCACAAAGCTCTCTCATGCCAGGTTCTGGGTAACTGCTCCTCCTCTTGCCCTTTTAGGCAGTCACAGCATCACCATCTTCCTGCCCTGGTGAAAGGCACAATCGCATGGAGTCTCCTTACATTCTGCCCACACCTTGGTAAACAGTGTCCTTATCAAGCCTCTTTGCCTCATCTTACCCAATTTGAGAGTTCAATGTTGCCTGCTGATAACCTGACAAACTACATTCCTTATCTTATTTGCCTGCTTTCCAATATTGGATAACAATGTCCCCTCCCTTCTTATCTCTGACTCTACCTGCTTAGTCTCCTTAGTGAGTCTGTCTTTGTATGGTGAAGAAAAGGTGACAATATTCATCTCCAACAGTCCTCTCTCATAAACACGTAGTCTGAGTAAAACCTGTAAGTTTTGATGGAAACACAGTTTCAAGACAAGTTCCCTATGCAGCACTTTTACTGCCAGCAACACGTGCATGCGTGCGCGCGCGCACACACACACACACACACACACACACACACACAACACACACACACACTTCTAATCTGTTTTCTGCCCCCACATCCCCAAAAAATAAACTCTGGATTCACCCAGTAACTCTTCTTCCTCTGCTTATTCCTTAAATGTTGTTACTTTCCAGACTTAATTACATTTTCCATACTTTTCGCTTTATATTTTATACATTCTTTTCTGTGAAATTTCAAGTCAATGGCTTTCATTTCCATACAAATACTGACAGCTTCCAAATTCTTACCATGAAACCAGTCCTCTCATTTGACATCTTTAGTCCCAAGTATCCTTCCGACTACTGGACAACTGCCCAAAGGAGTCCCGAAAGAATCTCAAACTCAACAAATTCAAAACTGAATCATCACGAGCCCTTTAAAACTTACTCCTTCTCTTGTTCTCTATCCCAGTGAATGGTATTGATCTCTGCTTAGAAATCTGCGATCTGTTTCTTGATACCTTCTACTCCATAGTCCTTCACCTTATTAAATCACCCAGAAAAGACCACAGGTTCTGTCCTCTTAAATATATCTCAAATATTCCCCTATTTTATTCAACCTCACTGCCTCCTGATTATACTGCCTGTCATGTCTCATGCTTCTATAATCCATCTTCCATACCACTTTCCCTCTGATGTTTCCAAAATAAATTTTATCCTGTTACTCTTCCTTTATAATTCTTCAGTAGCTATATATTATCTTCATAATATGTTCAAACTCCCCAAAAAGATATGCAAGATCCCTTCCTACATTTCCAGGTTTATATCTCCATAAAAAATGCACAAATATCATAAACTATAGTCATTTTTAATTATCATTTTTATAATCATGTATACCCATACATGTATAGCTCTATTTCCAGACTCTCTGTTCCACTGATCTATTTGTCCTTATGCCAATAACTTACTGTCTTAATTATTGCAGCTTTATAATGTCTAGGTGTTTAATGCTATTCATTTCCCCTACTCATGCTTAAATGGCATGCCACAAATTTTGTTTGTTGTATATTTTTATTTTCTTTCAATTAAAAATAATTTTTAATATCCTTTTATTTTTTATTTCACCTAAGGTTAATTTAGAGGTGTCTTACGTAGTTTTCAAGTATTGGGGGATTTTCCAGATACCTTTTTGTCATTGATTGGTCATTTCAGAGAACATACACTGTATGTCTTACGTCCTTTTTGAGATTAGTTTCATGGTACAAAATACTGTGTGACCTCGTAAATGGTCCATGACTCCTAGAAAAGAATTCTGCTGTTGTTGGGTGGAGTATTGTATAAAAGTCAATTAGATTAAGATGGCGATCCTGCTATTTAAGTCTTCCATATCCTAACTGATTTTTCAGTCTACCTTTTCAGTCAGTTATTGAGAGGGACATTGAAATAATCCAACTACAGTTGTGAATTTGACCATTTCTCCTTGCAGTTTCATGTTTGCTTTATGTATTTTAAGCTTTGTTATTAGATGCTTAAACGTTTAAAACTGATATGTTCTCCTGATGAATTGACCCCTTTATCATTATAAAATGACCTTCATTTACCCTGGTAATATTCTTTGCTCCGAATCCTACTTTATCTGAAATTAATATAGACACTCCAACTTTCTTTTGAGTAGTATTATGTTAGCATGGTATGTCTTTTTCTATTCTTTTAGTTTAAATGTATTTGTGTTTCAATATTTAAATTTTGTTTTCTGTAGACAGCATGTAGTTGGGTCATGCTTTTAAATTCAATATGATAATCTTTACCTTTTAATTTAGGGTCTTTTTTATTTTAGTGGTTGCCTTAGGGTTCACTATATAGATCTTTAACTTATCGTAGTTAACCTTCAAGGTATATTTTACCACTTCACGTGAAATATCAAAACCTCACAACAGTATACTTCCATTTCTCTCCACTTAGCCATTTTATTTTTACATATGTCAAAATCTTACAATAAATTGTTTTATTTTTGTTTAAATAGCCAATAATCTTTTAAGGAGATTTTTAAAAATAATCTTGTATATTTGCCAACGTAACTATCATTTCCAGTGCTCATTTCTTTATATAGATTCATATTTCTCTCTGGTATGGTTTTATTTCTCCTTAAAGGACTTCCTTTAGCATTTCTTAGAACACAGGAATGCTGTGCACTTTTTTTTTTTTTTTTTTCCCGAGATGATGTCTCTCTCTGTCTCACCCAGGTTGGAGTGCAGTGGTGTGATCTCAGCTCACTGCAGCCTCCACCTCCCGGGATCAAGCAATTCTCCTGTCTTGGCCTTCTGAGTAGTTGGGACTACAGGCATGTGCCATTCTTTCTGGTGTTTTTTTTTTTTTTTTTTTTTTTCTAAAAAAGTCTTTATTTCGTCTTTATTTTTGAAAAATATTTTCACAGGGGATAAGATTCTAGGTTGACAGGTTTGGGTTTGTCTTTTTCTTTCCATTGCTTTAAAGATGTTTTTCCTCTATCTTCTCAATTTCATTCTCCAGCGAGAAATCTGCAGGCATCTTTATCTTTGTTCCTCTGTAGGTAATGTAGCTTTTTTCTTGACTCCTTTCAATTATTTCCTCTTAACTGTGTATAGGGTCCCCCCACCCCCACTTTCTTTCATTAATCTGACCAAAAAAACACTTAATGTCTTGACCACCCTGTGACCTATTCAGCTGAATGTTTTTTTCCTGCAGGCTTGGACCAAATCAGGGGCCTTGAACATTCCTAGGCACCGATAAAGTTGTTCTGGTTGTTGCCCAAAACAGTGAAAGATTAAAGGTGTTGCTAAACACATAGAAACTAGCCCCAACCCTGAGCCAAATGTCTTAAATCCCCATATAAACTCCATAACCCGACCCCCTCATTACAAATATACCTGGGTAGAACATATTTCTTGCTGTCCAATGCAAGGATGCTGCAGCCTCCCAAAAGTTCCCCTAATCAATACTTGGACTGTTCACCCTTTGGCATTTAGTACTTCATTTTTTAGAATTCCAGCTGGCCCTAACTCATGATGGTTTGGGGTGGTCCTTGAGGGAACTCCCCTGCCAACACTTTTAGGGTGACTCCAGCCATGGGTTTGGCCAAGCAGAGCACAGTGGTTTTGAGCAATTTGATCATGATGTGCCTTGGTGTCATTTTCTTTATTTTCCTTGTGCTTGGGTTATTTGAGTTTCTTGCATTTGTGAGTTTATAGTTTTCCTCAATTTGGAATTTTTGTTTTTCTTCTTTGAGACAGAGTCTCCCTCTGTCGCCTATGCTGGAGTTCAGTGGCACGATCTTGGCTCACTGCAACCTCCGCCTTCTGGTTTCAAGCAATTCTCCTGCCTCAGCCTACCGACTAGCTGCGACTACAGGCACCTGCCACCACACTCAGCTAATTTTTGTACTTTTAGTAGAGACGGGGTTTCACCATATTGGCCAGGCTGGTCTCGAACTCCTGACCTTGTGATCCGCCCGCCTCAGCTTCCCAAAGTGCTGGGATTACAGGCGTAAGCCACTGTGCCTGACCCTGGAAATTTTTAATTATGATTTCATCAACTATTTTTTCTGTGCCTCCTCCTATGTGGACTACATTGCATATATATTATATCACTTGAGGTTGAGCCACAGATCACTGATTCATTTTGTCATTGTCTTCCATTTTGGATACTTCTTATTGCTATACCTTCAAGTTCACTAATCATTTATTCTGCAATGTCTAATCTGCCATTCATCCCATTCACTATGTTTGCCATTTCAAACATTGCAGTTTGCATCTCCAAGTTTCATTTAGGTCCTTTTTGTATCTTCCATGTTTCTATTTAACTTTTGGAGTATATAGAATACAGTTATTAGGACTTTTTTTGTTCTTTTCTGCTAATTCTAATACTTGTCAGTTCTGGGTTGATTTCAAATGATTCCTTTTTCTCTTCAATATAGGTTATGTTTTCCAGCTTCTTTACCTCCCCCATAATTGCTTAGTGGATGCCAGACATTGGGATTTTTACCTTCTTAATTCATTTATGCCTGGGGGTCACAATTTTTTGAATTTTTGCAATCAGACCATGGCGGTGACCTTGAGCAGTAGGATATAAATAACTCCCACATGCTTAGCGTTCCAATAATGGAACACTAGGCATAAGTGGCTACGGACTGGGTATTTCTGTAGTACCACAAATATTCTTGAGCTTTGTTCTGGGATATAGTTTAGTCACCTGTAAACAGTTTGATACTTTCGGGTTCTGCTTTTAACACTTATTAGGCAGAACCACAGCCATGTTTAGTTTAATGCTAATTATTTCCCAACACTAAGGCAAGAAACTTGTGAGTACTCTACCCAATGCCCCGTGAATTATGAATTTTTTCACTCTGGTTTGTGGGAACTGGCCCTGTGTGAGATCTGAGTACTGTTCCTTTTAATCCTTTCAGGTGGCCCTTTTTGTAGCCTTGGGTAGATTTTACACACACACACACACACACACACACACACACACACACACACAGTTGATTAGTACTCAGCTAAATACTCAAGAAGTACTCTGCAATCTCTGGATTTCTCTGTGTGTGAAGCTCTCACATCTTCAGTACTCTCTCCTATAAACTCTTGCTGCCTTCATCTCTCTAGACACTCACCTCCGTCTTGCATCAGGGGGGTCTTCTGGCTCCACCTGAGGTTGTCTCTAGGCAGTAAACTTGGGCAATCACTGGGGTCATCTCATTTCTTTCCCATCTCTCAGGGATGCCTGTGCTCCACTGCCTCAGGGCTAGTGTCTTGAAAACCATTGTTTCATATATTTTGTCCAGTCTTTGTGTTTTTTACAGGTGGGATGATAAATTTATCACCTCTTACTCCATCTTGGTCAGGAGTGGAAGTCTCTCTAAATAACCTTATTTGAATCATTTATGAGAACCTTAATATTACTATTTTGAGTTCACTATGGCCTAACTTTTGACATGTTCATTTCCATTTATTCTGTTTAAATTTGCAGCAACCCAGTCAGTTAGATACTATTATTGTATATATTTTACAAATGGGGAAACACAAAGAGTTCAAGAAAATTATCCTTTGTCACCGAACTATTAAATGCTACAGCCATGTTTCAACTCTGGACAGTTTGATTCAAGTTGATATTCATAGCTGTATATCACCACACATTACAAGACAAACCACAAACTATAAAATTTTGATCATTATACAAGACATTTATAACATATATCTATTTTTTCATCTTTGGCTGTGACCTACAATAGAAATATAGTTTATGTCACCACCCAATACACATACATACCCCTAAATATATAACTAAACTAAAACCAAAGCTTCATAGCAAAACATTTATCGTTATTATGGGTAATAATACCTACTTTATCTCAATTTTTTCCTATTTTATTGTTAATGCTTATGTGACTCAAATAAATTTTATGATCCATTAATAGGTATGATTTTCTATTAGAAAAACAAAATGATGTAATGTTCATTTGGATCCATTTATTCTAACACTCTCCTCTAAGACTGCTATCATTTTTTCTGGCTTTTCTTTTGATTATATTTGATTGCAATTTTGCAGTAATCAGGTAGATCCAACGACTAATTATGAGTCAGTTATATTTGTCCCAAGCCTTGATGTTTTATTCGTAGTATTACTATTATTATTTACTTTTAAGCTTTATAATTTTTTTTTACAAACTGGCATCTAATAGATGTTGTGAATTGACTTGAAATGTTCACTTTCCCTAAGAATAGTCCTCAGTCACCAGCATCTTTATAAAAGTTCTGATATGATATTCCGTCAATTGATTGCATATTCCCCTTAAAGAGGCTATTTTTTAATTATTAGAAGTTTATCTAATGTTAAGTATATGCAAATAAAACTTAGCCATATAGTTTTCTTATCTTAGTATAATACATATAGATTGTATTGTTTCTGATTGCTTGGTATATTATTGTTATAATTTTTGTAAATTGATTGTAAGCTACCATCAACATTTAATTGAGATTCATTGACTGTTACAATTATTTAATTATCAGCAAAGCAAAGAAAATCATTACTTAATTTTAATAAATGAAAATATATGAGCGGCAGGCAATTAACTTTGCATATAAAAATGTACATTTTGATTTTTATTGATAAACTATTTTCTATGTAACAGTTTTTGACTTAATGGGCTATTTGTAGGAAGATTGATATCAATTAATATGTCTATTAAATACCTTCATTTTCAAAAGTAATCCCTAATTATCTTGCTGTAGCCTATTCTTCACATATAAATGTGAAGCAAGTATGTGTACATTTCATATACAGTTAATATACCAAGAATTAAATTGGGCATTTCTTGCTTATGTAATTTTAATCTAATTATATGGCCATTAGATATATCTCTCAAATGCTCAATAATTCTCTCTTTACAATCAACTTATGTTTAATTAAAAAACAGTAATGAACTTGCTAAGTCTGCATTAACTACTCACTTGTGATATAAAATTAATAGCAGGTCTAAATTATTTTAAGTGATTTAAGAAATTCCAATACTCTCCAACTTCAAAACTGCTTGATTAAAACAAACAGGAAGCAAAAATATCATGTTAATTATTTTTCTGTTAAACAGTAATAGGTTTGCATTTTTTACTTTAATCTTGGAATATAACACATTAATGCTTAATTTACAAAAAGGAAATACAAATGACCAGTGGATATATGAAATTTATTCAGTGAAATATAATTTAAAAATTAAAAGGACAATGTCAGAGAGAAGCCGATTTTGCTCTCAGTTTTAGCCAGAAAAGAATAAAAGGTCCTTCTGTGGATGGGGTTATCACACAGTTTACCATCCCTGACTCTGCTTCTCTGGTGGCAAATGATAAGGCTTGGACGTCCAGCTGACAATTGAGATGGTATGAAGGGATGACCCAAAAGGAACAATCATGATGCTCTGAACCGATAGTATTATTTATCTATTAAGTTTAAATGTGAGAAACAGAAAGTACACACTTGCTAATAAGAGCAGAAAGCAAGACGGGTGTGGTGGCACACACTGGTAGCTCCAGCTACTTTGGAGGCTGTGGCGGGAAGATTGCTTCAGCCCAGGAGTTTGAGTCGAGCCTGGGCAACATAACAAGACTTCCATCTATAAAAAACACTTTTTTAATTTTTAAAAAAGGGCAGAAAGCAATAAGAAATAGCCTGTGGGGCACCAGAACAGAAAAGTGTTGAAGAATTGGTAAAACCTGTAGTCCCAGCTACTTGAGAGGCTGAGATAGGAGGATCACTTGAACCCAGGAGTTCAAACCCAGCCTGGGCAATACAGTGAAACACCATCTCTAAAGAAAATTAAAACTAAAGGGAGAAAAAGAATTAACTAAAAAACTTCTTACTGAAGGGAGAAGATGAGAAGATCTGATAACCAGAGTTGTACTTCATCTTGAAAAACTTTCCTCTCTCCAATTCAGTACCAGACTCTTTGGCGTCTGGCTTTATTACTCTAGAGGTGCAGTTAACATAAGCTTCCTCACAAAACCCTCATTCCATGAAGCAATGTAAGTGAACATCAGTTCTTTCCAGTCTTATAATGTTATCTGGCCATTGGATATATCTCTCAAATGCTCAATAATTATATGCGCAATAATATATCTCTCAAATGCTCAATAATTCTCTCTTTACAAGCACCAGACTTTATAAGTCATCAAACTGTAACATCATAAGACTGCCTTTTTTGACCAGAACATTAACAAATATTTATACACTTATATGCAATGCCCAAGCATGCTGATATACAGTGTATATGAAAATTCATATGCTCTCAGTGAAAATGAAAATTATGTTTCCTTCACAGAAATTTCATTTCTAAACATTAATCCAAAAATTATAACTAATTTTAGGTGTAGGTGTAAAGATTTAGTTTAGAAGGTTTGTCTATAAAATGCCAATAATAGAAGATTAGTAAAATAAATTGTAGTATAATGGAATTCTATATATTCAGTAAAAGTGGTATTATAAAAACATGTTATTGGCCTAGGAATATGAAAAATGAAATGTTAAGTGATAATAAAAATTATAACCCAGGCCAGGCACGGAGGCTCACGCCTATAATCCCAGCACTTTGGGAGGCCAAGGCGGGCAGATCACGAGGTCAGGAGATCCAGACCATCCCGGCTAACACAGTGAAACCCCGTCTCTACCAAAAAAAAAAAAAAAAAAAAAAAAAAAAAAAAAGAATTAGCCGGGCGTGGCGGCAGGCGCCTGTAGTCCCAGCTACTCGGGAGGCTGAGGCAGGAGAATGGCGTCAACCTGGGAGGCGGAGCTTGCAGTGAGCCAATATCGCGCCACTGCACTCCAGCCTGGGCGACAGAGCGAGACTCAGTCTCAAAAAAAAAAAAAAAAATTAACCGAATACATGGGGTTCCTTTTTGTTAAAAATTAAAATGCTTATCTTAAATACGTGTATGTATAAGCTAGATAGGAATTGAGACCAACATGTTAGAAGTAGTCATCTCTTAGTGGTGAACTTGCAAGTGATTTCATTTTTTTTATGTTTTGCATGTCTGAATTTTCTAAATTTCTTCCCTAAACATGTTTAACTTGTATAATCAAAACAAATTAAAGTTTAAAAATATGAAAGCAGTGATTGTCCCTAGGTGTTTGAGATTATGTTTTACACTTACTTCTCTATAATGAGCAAGTATTACTTTTATAATTGAAAAATAAATTGTATTTTTTAAAACAGTGTTGGTATAATGTAAAATGAAAGAATAAGTATGATTCCACAAGGGACTTCATCAGGAATATAAACCGCTTTTGCTAGATCTTGCATGAACCATTTTGTTGCTAAAACATACCACTGTAGAAATAATTTTCTCCCCCAATATGCTACAACATAAGCTTGTTCGGTGGCAAGGATTTCCAATTACAAATTGGTCATTATGGACTTCATAATATACAAAGACAATTTTCCTTTTTGGATATGAAAAATACTTCCAAGCTGTGTTCCAGTAAATCTACTATCACTAGCATTGCTGCCAGAAATTGCCATTTGCCATCCTCATTGGATAAACCATTCTCTCTAGAAAACCAGAAGCTTGGTGGGAATTCAAATATTGTCAGTATATCGAACTATATTGTTGTTAACATCAATACGGAATACATTTCCTATGTGGCAACATACAATGTGAAAGTTATAAGCAAGAAAATAATTAAGCATTTAATAAGCAAGAAAGTAATATTTGTTGATAGCTACAAGAGCACTTTTAGTGTCATAAGACCAGAGCTTTCTACTAAATGTGCTTTCTAGAACTTCCAGTTCCTTACCATGGTTTAAATAAACGGTTTTACTTATTCACTTATTTCCTTTATATAGGCATCAAAAAATTCCAGCATTGTATCTGCACTAAATACATCTACATTTTTAAATACGTCCTGAGGATCTAAGGTACAGCATGGTGACTATAGTTAATAATACTGTATTGCATACTTGAAATTTTCTAAGAGAACAGATCTGAAGTGTCCTCACTCCCACACACATACACACATATCATAAACGACAACTATGTGTATAGGATATGTTAATTAATTTCATTATAACTATTATATAATGTGCATATATATCAAATCATCATGTTGTACATCTTGAATATATACGATTTTTATTTGTCTCAATAAAGCTAGAAAAAAATAATTTTTCCTCACAGAACCTCACAGATTTGTCCTCTCCACATATGTCTGTTTTTTCCAAACTCCGCGTTTTATGGATCCAGTTCCCTCCCAGTTCATTTTGATGTCTGTATTTGATTAAGTCTCATTAGAAGATACTTTTCAATAGACTAAGGTCATGGATTTGAGTTCCCAAAGCCAGTTAGTACTGCTTTATTTAAGGTTAGTTGACTGGCCTTCTAATCATGGCCATCTATTTCACAAATAACGATGGTGACCAAGGAACTAAAAGTATAGATGAATCACAAGTAGCTTTTCCAAACTTACCAATAGTAGAATAGCACCTTGAATATAGCAGTCATGCATTCATTCAACAAATACTGAGACCTAGCATGTGCCACAGACTCTTAGAATTTCTAGAAATACACAAGTGAACATAACAATGTCACTGCCTTCATGGAGCTCACATTTTGGAATTGGTTTTATATGTTGTAAAAGCTCCAGTTGTCAGAATCCTTAACTCAAGCCCCAAGGCAAGGATTTTCTAGCTGTTCAATTGATTCTCAGTGGATTTTTATGATGTATCAATGGTATCCAAAAGATAACGGTCTCCATATCCTCTACTTTCTATTCTGCAGCAATCAATTCTCTAAGAAATTACCTGCTTCAAACAGAGAAGCTTTACTTAGGGTTCAACATATTAGAGTTTATTAGATTTCATTTACCCATTGCCTTCCACAAAAGGGAAAAATGCAGGATGTGTACAGGGAAAGAGCTAAGACTCCAATGACAAAGATTTCATAATGGACGTTCAAAGACTCAGCTGTCACTCAGGCCACAGAGTATAAGTGTTTTCTAAACTGCAGAGCCCCTTGGAGGATATAGCCCTACAACTGCACAGACTGAGTAAGAACTGGATTGCAGAGAGTCAATGTCTAACATACCTCAGCAGAGTGCCCAGACACTTAGCGCATGCATGAAGATGGCCCACTTTAATCCACACAAAAGGACTCCTTGAATTCCACTCACTGATCCTATGATGCACAGAAGCTTGCTATCATTATTATTATTATTATTATTTATTTTATCTCTGTATGGAACATCTCTTATGCATTGCTTCAGATCATACCCACTTCAACTCTTTTTCCAATCAGTAACACTGCAAGCAGATTCATGCAGGTACAACCCGACAGCACATTTTTCATTGACATGGTTTGGCTGTGCCCCCACCCAAATCTCATCTTGAATTGTAGTTCCCATAATCCCCATTCATCATGGGAGGGACCCAGTGGGATGTAATTGAATCATGGGGTGGTTCTTACCCCCATGCTGATGTTCTCATGATAGTGAGTGAGTTCTCACAAGATCTGATGTTTTTATAAGGGGCATCCCCCCACCCTTCACTGGTCACTTCTTGTTGCCACCATGTTAAGAAGGACGTGTTTGCTTCCCCTTCCACCATGATTGTAAGTTTCCTGAGGCCTCCCCAGCCATGGTGAGCAATTAAACCAAACCTCTTTCCTTTATAAATGACCCAGTCTTGGGTATGTCTTTATTAGCAGCATAAGAATGGACTAATACACTCATCCTTTTCCAAGGATCTCTGATGCAGTGCTTGACCCTTGTGTGGGAGCAACCTGGAACGCATGAACTAAAGGCCTGTGGGGAAACCTTTGAACTGGATCAGTGGGGGATATGAGCTTATGGGTGAATGGTCCTCCCTACTCCCCACTACCTCAGACAGTGCTGAGTTTTGAGGCACTCATTAAGATTTTCAGAAGATCCCATCAAACCAGACATCCATATCCTTGGTCAAATGGTTACACATTCTTATATCGACTGCTCATTTCCTGTTCCACTACCTGGGTCCTTCACTCCTTCCCTCTGGGATCACATTCCCACATTAACAACCTGAAAATAAGCCTTAGAGTTGGGGCTCCAATTGGGAGGTATGGTAATTTCTCCAATGTCTTAAAAGAATTTGATGTAGGGAGAACATAGGCAACACCATCAAGCAAGACCTGGGTTCCAACCTTAGTTTACAATTTGTTAGCGGCATGACTTTGCACAAGGTTCATAATCGAGGCCCTCTTAAAGAAGTGTGAAGATTACATAAGGTAACAGATTTGTTAGCTTCTAAAATTCCATACCCACCCTCCCACACTCAAAAACATTCATTTTCAGCAGGTTGTAGACTCCCTAGAGATAATGAAGCAGAAATTCAACATAGTAGAAATGAAAGCATACAAGTTAAACAAAATATTCTTCTGTACACAATGTTTCCTCTTTTGTCCCAGAAGTTTACTTGCTTATTTTGCAGGATTTTCCCCCTTTAGAATTACACATTCCTACCTAAAATACTTTGCGGATGATATTAGTTCCAGGTTTACTTACTTTTAAGAACATACAAGACTCTGAAAAACATGTCCTTTTAATTTTTCAACGAAATATCTGAAGCTGGTGATAACATTTTAAAGAAGGTGAATGAGAAGTAACAATAGTTTGGAAGATATGGTTTGAGAAGAACACGTTGAGAAGGTTTGAGCAGAAACCTAGGAGCAGTGTGACCAAGGATCAGTGGAGAAACAGGATTACTGAGAGGCACTGAGGCCCCAGCTGGGACCTGCTTGCAGGTGAATTCTGGTGAAAATTCTGGCATAGTCCCGAGCATTTGCCTTTTCTGATTCTACCAAGGCACTCCTCACTGGCTTCCTATTCTTACCTCTTTCAAAAATAGCATTTATTATATGAAAATTTGATTGTTTTCTAGTCTATATTATTCACTAGACATTTTTTTAAAAACATATGGACCTTTTGTCCAGAAAATAATAGGTGCTCAACTATCTAATATTTTCATATGCTTTCAAGGATTCATTTACCCCCAGATTACGATCTCTGCATTTGACTGTGAGCCTCTTGAGGAGAGAAAGGCTCAAATCATATAAAACTCTCTATCTCTAGGCCTAGTGCAGTGGCTCATGGCTGTAATCCCAGCACTTCGGGAGGCTGAGGTGGGTGGATCACTTGAGCCCAGGAGTTCAAGACCAGCCTGGGCAACATGGCGAAGCCCCATCTCTACAAAAAATACAAAAATTAGCTGGGTGTGGTGGCGCATGCCTGTAGTCCCAGCTACTCTGGAGGCTGAGGTGGGAGGATCGTTTGAGCCCGGAGGCAGAGGTTGCAGTGAGCCACGGTCACACCACTGCATTACAGCCTGGGTGACAGAGCGAGACCCTGTCTGACAGAGCGAGACCCTGTCTGAAAAACAAATAAATAAATAAATACATGAAATCCTGTCTCTGATGCACAGTTTCCAGATACATAAGAACTATTCAAAGAACAGTATTGATATACATATCGAAGAAATGTTTTTCAACTTGGAAAAAGAACTGAACGAATCAGACAAAAACTGAGGTTTGGCAGAGCCGGAGTCATGAATAAACAAAGGGATGAGGATGTGTTGAGATGAAGTGGTTTTGGTTGTGTGAAAAGGCAGATAAATGATGCAAAGTAAAAGATTTATGTTCTGAGGAGATTATAAACTAGGTCAGTGTAATAGTGGAAAAGACTGGGGAATATAATGGTCAGAGAAAGCAACCTCTGCCACTAAAGGTACTTTGAATTATTGTCACTTGACTGTCAGTAAGACAAGTAAGTTTTGTGTAGTGAGTAGAGTCTTTGTACATAAATAGAAATGTATACTGATTAAACTATTATAGAGTCTTTCTATAGAATGAATAGATCGATCGATTTCATTTAACTTACAATGACTTCAAATGAAAAAACCAAGAATAGGAACAGAGGTAAGACTTTCCCACCCTATGATGATTTACCAAGTAATTCCTACTGAAGTCTCATCTTAATTATTTTCTTCAGTTTGCAAAGCTGCTACCAGGGAAATAACTGTGTGATGGATTTTGCTTTTGTGAAATAAGTAATTAGCTCTCCAAAACACAGAAAACCAAGAAAATCCAGATATGGCCAACCATCCATCTACCCATCTATCAATCCATCCATCCA
Organism: Homo sapiens; assembly: GCF_000001405.40. Lineage (NCBI taxonomy): Eukaryota > Metazoa > Chordata > Mammalia > Primates > Hominidae > Homo > Homo sapiens. The sequence continues at coordinate 59,007,362 of NC_000016.10, read as the reverse complement.
CCCATCTATCAATCCATCCATCCATTCATCCTCCGTTCTGTCATTTGACCAGCTACACTTTGAACATGCATTGTTTACCAACATATACCAGAGTCTTGTACACAGAAGTGACTATAAACAGGTTGGGTGCGGTGGCTCACGCCTGTAATCCCAGCACTTTGGGAGGCCGAGGCGGGTGGATCGTGAGGTCAGGAGATCGAGACCATCCTGCCCAACACGGTGAAATCCCGTCTATACTAAAAATACAAAAAAAAAAAAAAAAATTAGCCGGGCATGGTGGTGGATGCCTGTAGTCCCAGCTACTCAGGAGGCTGAGGCAGGAGAATGGCGTGAACCCAGGAGGCGGAGCTTGCAGTGAGCCGAGACTGCGCTACTGCACTCCAGCCTGGGTGACAGAGTGAGACTCTGTCTCAAAAAATTTTTTAAAAAGTGACTATAAATCAAACACTTGCCAACTGAGCATCATGCTAGTATTGTTTACAAAGATGAACAAGGTACCATCCAAAGCATTAAAGACCTCTCAATTTAGAAAAGCGAGTTGCAAATATAAACAAATAGCTAGGATGCATTCAGAAGAAGGATGCATAGGTGGGGATATATAACTATCTTTTTAAAATTATTTTGATTATTAAGATTATGTAAATTCAGATTAATTGGGACAAATACAGAGAGATATTGGCAAGAATGGTAAACACTTATAAACAATATAATAATCAAGTTAGACTAAGTTTTAAAAGTAATTTTCACACTTCTGTCCAGTTTAAGGATTCCCTATAATACTGATCGTCTTCTCCATCATTTCTTGATTCTGACTTTTTCTAATGGGGTTAAACAAATCACAGACTTCATTTCTGGGCAAGACATGCTGTGCTGTGTCTTGAATCAGCACTTCAAATGCTAGTCAAGGTTTCATATCAACAATAGCCCTCCCCACTTTGTATCTGTGGGTGACAGAGAATGAGCCTTTTTAACAACTTGCAAGGAATCATTTTTTTAAAAAAGTAAAAAAGACTAAAAATAAAATAAATTCATGACCTTGGCTTTCCAACTTTTATCTGCACACTTCTTGTTCAAACCGTGTCTCTTGGGTCTCTCTTTGCACAGAGGAAAACATTTCTTTTCTCTGTGTGACTAGGAAGCCTGCATTTCTCTCCACTCCCAGGGCCAGTAAAATGTCAACCTGTGACCAACAGAGAGAATAGATCACGAAGAAATGGGTTATTTTTCCACATGGCATGTTTCCCCATGACTGTCTTTTTCCTGGTCTGGAAGAAATGTTTTCATGACAATCAAGTCACTAATGTTCACTCCTCACCAGCTGATGTGCTTCCATCCCAATTGATGAGCTGGATATTGTGTTAAAATTATTTTACCAAGACCGGATAATCTTCTGGGATTATTTAACCATTTATTTTTCAGAAACTGGCTTATTGGCAGAAACTTGTTAAATGGGTCTTTCTTTCTCCTGGTCCTTTCAAAGCATAATCCCAACTAAACAGAACAAGCTTAAGACAACATTAGACAGTCACGTTATGGGAAATAAAATATGAATTGGAAATTTCTTTCCCCATGGAGGACATTTAGTTGCTTTGAAGGCAGAATAAAACTTTTTTTCTTTCCCTCCTCATGTACCTATTACTACATAGTCCAGCAGTGGTGTACCTTCAATAAATGTTATGCCCATCATCCAAGCATCTCCAAACATGATTGTGTTTAGAAATGGGTTACATTTAGAGATGGTATGTTAAGGTTAGGTTGAGGCAGAATCAACCTCCTAGTAATGTAATAATCTTATTTTTTTTTTCCCCAAGCCGGAGTCTGTTCTGTCACCCAGAGCTGGAGTGCCATGACGGGATCTCAGCTCACTGCAACCTCTGCCTCCCGGGTTCAAGCAATCCTCCTGCCTCAGCCTCCCAAGTAGCTGGATTACAGGTGCGTGTCACCACACCCGGGTAATTTTTGTATTTTTAGTTGAGTGAGGGTTTCACCATATTGGCCAGGCTGGGCTCAAACTCCTGACCTCGTGATCCGCCCCGCCTGGGCCTCCCAGAGTGCTGAGATTACAGGCATGACCCACCACGCCCAGCCTAATCTTCTTATTCTTAAAAAAGTCCCTCTATAAAAAAGGCAAGAAATTTGCAGTGCAGTATAACAAAGCGCATATAACATATAGCAGTGCATATAACAAAGACTAGAAAGATATTTACTGAAATATTCACCATTGTTATGTCTAGTAGTGGAAATACAGGAGTGTTTCTTCTGATTTTTCTCAATTTAATTTTTTTGTTAACTGAATGAATTTTTCTACTGAGTTAAAGGCACTATACTAGTCGCCAGGGTGAGAAAGATTAATGAATTTCCTTCATATTCAGAACCATGAAAAGAAGAGGTGAACCAGGCAGAAAACAACTTACTAGAGGCTTATCTACCCTGACATTCATATCAATTGGTATTCTGACTGTACTCTGTGATACTATGAAGTTCAGATGGGGCTTGGGAAGGGTGAACAAACCCTTTCTCCTTCTCTAAAGACAAATCTGAGCTTAGGTTAACTTTCTTGCTCTTTACCCTGAAAACTTGATAAAGGTAGGATCTCACCTGTATTGCTAGGCAACATTATTTATGGATAGAAAGGCCCATGGTGGAGAAATTGCACCTGACCTGGAAAAGTGTGAATGAAGCATAAATGCCTGGTGGGAAGCCATGGCTCTAGGATTCCCTGAATATGGAGGCTCATAACAGGTCATATCCCTGTGGGGATCTAGAAGCTATACCTAGGCCTATTACAAGAGATATTGGTCTCTATGTGGCATAATATTTCTATGCCAGGGCAACTACTGCACCTGTCTAATATGAGTCTTTTTTTATTGAGGTAGGGTCTCACTCTATTGCCTAGGCTGGAGTGCAGTGACATGATCTTGGTTCACTGCAGCTTTGACCTCCTAGGCTCAAGTGATCCTCCCACCTCAGCCTCCAGAGTAGCTGGGAGTACAGGCATGCGCCACCACACCCAGCTAGTTTCTGTGTTTTTTGTAGACATGGGGCTTCACCATGTTGCCCAGGCTGGTCTTGAACTCCTAGGCTCAAGTGATCCACCCAACTCAGCCTCCCAAAGTGCTGGGACTATAGGCATGAGCCACCATGCCCGGCCTAACCTGAGTCTTATTTTCTCACACCTAAGCTCTCATGCGGGGACGAGGCAGGGGCAGTGCAAGGGAGAACAGAAGGTGTTCTGCTATAAGGATTATTCCCTTTGAAAAGAAATGCCTGACACAGCCCAAGTGAGGTGCTATGTTTCTGGTCCAACAGCCATGCAGGGACGAGGCAGGGGCAGTGCAAGGGAGAACAGAAGGTGTTCTGCTATAAGGATTATTCCCTTTGAAAAGAATTGCCTGACACAGCCCGAGTGAGGTGCTATGTTTCTGGTCCAATAGCCATCTGATTAAACTGGTACCAGGTGTTACCTATTCAGGTCTTGTGTGTCTGAATGTCTTGTTAAGGAGACCCTATACTAGGAGTTGCAGAAAGTATGAAGAGGATAGCCAATTTTAGAAGAGTTGAAACCATTTCCTCAATTATTTCTTCACCAGAAAACACATAAGCATGACTCCTCAAGAGCTCCCTGAAGGAATATTACTGTAGCTTCCACAACTACATTCTTTATTTTAGCCAAGCCTGGAGTGGGTGGACTGGGGTGAGTGCTTGCTGAGTGACACCCACGATGGACTCAAATCATTCTTTGGGGGTGAAAGATGATATTTTATAGTAAATGTATAAGTTCAGTATTAAAGAAGAAGGTTTTTTTTTGCAGTAGTACTGCAAATAGAGATTTTGATCTAATACATTATCATTGTCAGAGTGATTTTCTTGCTAAATTAAGAAACCTATGGGTCATAAATGAAATAGAACTGGTTGGAGTACAAATGTAATTTGACAGACGTGTTCCCTTGTGTGCTGGAGCTGGTTCATTACTAACTTGCAAGAGCCAATTGTTAAATTTTCAGGAATTTGGGGAGCAGACTGTTAAACACAACTGTGATTAAAATTTGAAGCATATAAAGTCACAATTAAATAAGTTATATTAAAACAAAGATTATAAATACTCAAAAACATACACCCTCAGAAATGAAAAATTCATTCCCCAGCTGGTGGACATGCTAATGGTAGGCAGTCCTCAGCCATTAGCTCCCTTTGGAGAGTGCCCTGGTGGGAAAGAGCACCCTCACTCAAGGTCACATTCAAGGCCAATTACTAATCAACACAAGTGATAAATGTCTGGTCTCTTTGCCCCATGTGAGATCACTTTGAAGGATTAGCTAAGCTTCAGAGATCCCCATAGGTCAGCTGAAGCTTTCACAAGGCTGTTCCAAGGCTCAACTTCTTCTTCTGCACAATCCCCACTTCAGGAGGGCTCCCTGATAACTGCCTTGCACATCATTCTCCATCTGTGACAACACCCAACCAAAAATGTTTATTAGGCATCTATTATGTTTCAGGCACCAGAATCATCACTGATTAGTAAGACATGGTCTTTGTTCACAAGAAGATTACAATTTGGGAAAACAGAAATGTATCTATTAGAATGCAAAGTAATAACAGCTATGATGGGTAAACATTATGAAGGCCATATGAGGTATTCCTAGCTGAATCTTTGGAGAGTTAAAAACATAAAGCTGAAACTGGATCCCTTCCTTACATCTTATACAAAAATTAATTCAAGATGGATTAAAGACTTAAATGTTAGACCTAAAACCATAAAAACGCTAGAAGAAAACCTAGGCAATACCATTCAGGACATAGGCATGGGCAACGACTTCATGTCTAAAACACCAAAATCAATGGCAACAAAAGCCAAAATTGACAAATGGGATCTAATTCAACTGAAGAGCTTCTGCACAGCAAAAGAAACTACCATCAGAGTGAACAGGAAACCTACAGAATGGGAGAAAATTTTTCCAACCACTCATCTAACAAAGGGCTAATATCCAGAATCTACAATGAACTCAAACAAATTTACAAGAAAAAAACAACCCCATCAAAAAGTGGTGAAGGATATGAACAGACACTTCTCAAAAGAAGACATTTATGCAGCCAAAAATCACATGAAAAAATGCTCATCATCACTGGCCATCAGAGAAATGCAAATCAAAACCACAATGAGATACCATCTCACCCCCGTTAGAATGGCAATCATTAAAAAGTCAGGAAACAATAGGTGCTGGAGAGGATGTGGAGAAACAGGAACACTTTTACACTGTTGGTGGGACTGGAAACTAGTTCAACCATTGTGGAAGTCGGTGTGGCGATTCCTCAGGGATCTAGAACTAGAAATACCATTTGACCCAGCCATCCCATTACTGGGTATATACCCAAAGGATTATAAATCATGCTGCTATAAAGACACATGCACAGGTATGTTTATTGCGGCACTATTCACAATAGCAAAGACTTGGAACCAACCCAGATGTCCAACAATGATAGACTGGATTAAGAAAATGTGGCACATATACACCACGGAATACTATGCAGCCATAAAAAATGATGAGTTCATGTCCTTTGTAGGGACACGGATGAAGCTGGAAACTATCATTCTCAGCAAACTATCGCAAGGACAAAAAAACCAAACACCACACGCTCTCACCCACAGGTGGGAATTGAACAATGAGAACACATGGACACAGGAAGGGGAACATCACACACCGGGGACCGTTGTGGGATGGAGGGAGGGGGGAGGGATAGCATTAGGAGATATACCTAATGCCAAATGACAAGTTAATGGGTGTAGCACACCAACATGGCACATGTATAAATATGTAACAAACCTGCACGTTGTGCACATGTACCCTAAAACTTAAAGTATAATAATAATAAAAAAAAGAAAAATTCAGAGCAGAAATACAAAAAAAAAGTATTTGTAAAGGAAGAGATATCTACACTGCTTCTAAAGGACAAGTAAGAGCTAACTAGTCTGGAAAGAAATAAAAAGAAAAAGAAAGGCAGAAAGGTATTTCACAAAGAAGGAACAGCATGTTCAAACAGTAGGATGACTATGAAAACACAATGACACTATAAATAATGCAATTTTTTTTCACTTGCTCATAAAGTAGAGGTAGGAAAGAGGTAAAATCCCATGCAAAGATAGTTTTTTTAAAGACTTATTATGTCTCTACTAAAAATACAAAAAATTAGCCAGGCGTGGTGGCGGGCACCTGTAGTCCCAGCTACTCAGGAGGCTGAGGCAGAAGAATGGCATGAACCTGGGAGGCAGAGCTTGCAGTGAGCCGAGATCGCACCACTGGACTCCAGCCTGGGTGACAGAGCGAGACTCTGTCTTAAAAAAAAAAAAAAAAAGACTTATGTTAACGACATTGAACTTTATGCTCAAGAAAAGGAGAGGCATGGAAGGGTGATATACATTTGTATTTTGTAAATATCTCTGGGCCTACAATAGGGAAAGTAGATTTGGGGAGAAGGAAACAGAAGACAAGAAGGCTAGTAAGAGGCTGCTATAGTATTCTTGGCAGAAGACGTTAGTCTGAACCAAAGTTCAGACAATGAATAGAGAGAAGAAGGAAAGTGGAGACATTTTGGAGGTAGCATTGACAAGACTTGAAGAGTCATTGAGCATGGGGTTGATAAAGAGAAAGGGATCAAGGGAAACCTCAAATTTCTGATGAGAAAATGGATAGAAGACATAAAATATGACACTTAAGGCAGTGATTTTTAGGTAAGTTCAATCTGACCTGTTTGTGGGACACCCAAATAAATATATGAAGTTAGCAGCTTGATGCGGAGTTTAAATTGTGTGTGTGTGTGTGTGTGTGTGTGTGTGTGTGAGAGAGAGAGAGAGAGAGAGAGAAACACCTAGAGTGGCTACTTCTGTAATTGCCCCATCCATGCTCTGGCAGCTGATTAGTGAAAGTGTTAAAACTGTCGGAGCCTGTGTAATCACTTTTATAAAGTGATTCAAGAGTACAATATAACTCGGCAGTTGTGAGATAGTGTAGCATATTTAGAACATGATTTTGAAGTCAGGCCAACCTGAGCTTTTATCCCAAATCCACCACCTGCTTGCTATAAAGACTTAGATGAGTTACGTATCTGACCCTCACATTCCCCATCAAGAATTTGACTGCTAATCACAGTTTGCAAGTTTGCCGTAGGCTTAAATGAGGTTGTATATGTAAAAGTACGTGACACATATTAGGCCTTCAGTGATTATTTCATTTCCCAGCCCACAGAGTTTCCAGTGCTCTTTGCATTTTATCTGTCGCTCTCCATACCTCCTGACTCCAGTTTCCACTTTGAACTCATCCTGTTAATATAAAGCATTATTTCAATTACCTGATAAAGATAAAATCCAGCCCCTGCTCTCCCTTTGTACTGTCTGGCTCCGGATGTTTTTGTAATGCTCTCCTGGCCTTGTCTACATCTAATTTACTTCCTTTCAGTTGAATGTTATCGCAAGTCATGAATTGTTCTCACTTCATGTTTATTGCAAACAGATAACCATTATCTCCAACAGGCCTGCTTGGTTTTATCTTAGTCGTTTCACATTCGGCAACTTTGTAATTATTTCATTTTATTTTCTCTACATTAGGTTGTTTCTCTTCTGCATTGATACTTGGATAAAGAGGCGAAAACAAATTTGTAATTTAATAAGCCTTTTCAAACGTATTACTGCTGGAAACAAGCTGAGGTCCTTAAAATTTGTTTTGACTGTAAAGCTCCATGACCATTTCAAAATTCCTTGGCTGAAAAAAACGAAGTTTTTTAGTTTCACCTCTATAAGGTGCTGACTTAATTTCATCAACAGATCCCAGTCAAGCCAGTCAAGGCTTGGTTGGTTTCAGAAACCAGGGCTGCTTCATTTGGGGGGTTACACAAGGCAGCTGGAGAAGATAGGACTGAACCACATCCAGGAGAGAGAACAATGGCAAACCAGAGAAAAGTCAAGCAGTGGCTTCACTCAAGGGAAAGGCATAGGATGAGAATAGAAAAGAAACCAAAACTCTGGAGTCAGGTAAACGTAAGAATAAATGAGGCCGGGCACGGTGGCTCATGCTTGTAATCCCAGCACTTTGGGAGGCCGAAGTGGGTGGATCACCTGAGATAAGCAGTTCAAGACCAGCCTGGCCAATATGGTGAAACCCCATCTCTACTAAAAATACAAAAAAAAAAACAAAATGCCAGGCATGGTGGCAGACGCCTGTAATCCCAGCTACTCAGGAGGCTAAGGCAGGAGAAACACTTGAACCTGGGAGGCAGAGGTTGCAGTGAGCCAAGATCACACTACTGCACTGCAGCCTGGGCAACAAGGAGAGACTCTGTCTATAAATAGATAGATAGATAGATAGATAGATAGATAGATAGATAGATAGATAGATAAGTAAAATGGAGAGAGAGGAATGACGGTTAAATAGCTGAAACTACTCAATACAGGTAGGGTGGATAAAGGCAGGTCCTTTTTTTTTTTCTCATCTTTCTGAGTGTGGCTTTTCTATTCCCATCAAAGAAAATTATACGAGAGCCCATAAAAGATGGCCCCAGTAGATATTCTGCACTTTGTCCTCTCCCTCACACTTCACTCTACCCTCTCATCTCCTTAACTCTCTACTTATCATGCTACCCGGCTACAAATTTCATCTATCCCCTCCTCAGCTGTATAGCCCATACATCTCCCTGCTAATTAAAATTCTAGGCTGGGCGCAGTGGCTCATGCCTGTAATCCCAGCACTTTGGGAGGCCGAGGTGGGCGGATCACGAGGTCAGGAGATCCAGACCATCCTGGCTAACACCGTGTAACCCCGTCTCTACTAAAAATACAAAAAATTAGCTGGGCGTGGTGGCGGGCACCTGTAGTCCCAGCTACTCGGGAGGATGAGGCAGGAGAATGGCGTGAACCTGGGAGGCGGAGCTTGCAGTGAGCCGAGATCATGCCACTGCACTCCAGCCTGGGCGACAGAGTGAGATTCCGTCTCAAAAAAAAAAAAAAAAGTTCTAAAATGAAATATAAAGGTAGAAGCAACAATCTCCTCCTCCTCCTCATTAGCCTTTACCATATAAATCAGCCCTGAACAATAGAAATAAGAAAGAGAACTAACATTTTCTGAGCACTGTCACACTGTCTAGCATTTGAGTACTTTGCATGCCTTATCCCAGTGAATCCTCAGTATGTTCCAATTGAACCGTTGGGGAAACTGAAACTCCCTAAAGTGATGAAACTAGTGGATGAAAGAGCTGGAATTTACACACTGGCCATTCTGACTCCAACCTTCATTTCTAACAATGCTAATTTATGAATTGCACTTTCATGTTGCAGTATTAATATTAATTAATATTTCTCTGCAATGAGCTGCCAGGTCCCCTTTACCTGGCCACTTCTTCTCTGGAGTCAGTGTCGTTCTGGCCTACCATAACTACAAAGTGAAATAAAGAATTGCACTGGAAAACAAGTAGCTCCCTAGCCCAGCATTCTCAAGTCTGGATGTCTGGTATGTGTTGCTTTTATCACTCATACATGAAAAGGTAATGTATTTTGTGGTGTTCACAGTGGAGTGGCATTTAGAGACCCAAGACCTGACACTCTGCTTTAAAACCCCATCATGAGATAAATATCGCTCTTCTAAACCAAAAGAAAAAAAAAAAAAAACAAAAGAAAAGGCAATACATTTAATAATGATCCAAATGAACAGAAATGAAAGGAACTACATTGGCTGGGTTGATACCAAGTCCCCTCTGCCCTGACTGAAGCTGATCCACCACTTCTATCTTCAGCTGTTTATTCAGTCCAAGGCCTAACTTCCTGCTTTATACGCATCTCGTGAGCTCCCAGTGCCAGACATCCTAAAATAAATTACCAAATGGACTCCAGGAACACTCCTTGTTCTTGTTATAAATTTCAAGAAATATATAGAACTTCCTATAGACCCACAGGACAGCCCTTTCAGATGTGCTAAGAACAGCCTGGCTTTCCTCTTCTGGAAGATTTATCTCCTAGAGCCCATGGGCAAAGAGCAGTGGTAAGACCTCTGCGGTTACAAACTCTTTTGCAGTCTAGTTCAAAGAAAACATCATGGGCTTTGGAGTCAGAAAGATCTGAGTTGAAGCCTGAGCTTGCTACCTACTATAGCTGCAACCTTATGCAATGTGCTTTATTTTCCTTGACCATCAGGATCTTCCTATATAAGGTAAGTGAACAGTTACAGTGGAAGAACACTGCAATAATTCAGTGAAATAATGTCTAAAGGCAACTTCATGGTAGTGGAAATACAGTCTGTGTACAAGAACTACTGAGCCCCTCTTTAAAAAGAGGTATCACCTTCATCTTCCTACCAACTTCATGGAGTGTAAAAAGGACACAGCACATTGCAAATGCTGCTGAAATTGAGATATGGGGAGGTAAAATAATATGCCAACTGCCCTTCAGAAAGTTGAAGCAAAACTTTCTAATTTTGCCAGGTCACCTGAATACCCCCCACAACTCCAGGATTTTTTTTTCCCACTAATCTGGCTTCGGAAGCAATTAATGGTGCTATATTCCCATGACCCTTTTTCTGTATTGTTTTACTTTCTGTTCTGTCTTATTTTGTGTGTACATATTTTATTTCCTTTTTAATTAGTTTGTTTTTATTCACTTTTTATATCTACAGAGCTGAGCAGAAATATATATGCAATGTTTAACCTACTATGAAATTTAGAAATGAAGAAATATGTGGTAGGGACCAGCTTTACTCCTTCCCTAGCTCCCAGGGAAATCAAACAAATATAAAGCTGAGATATATTCTTTGCTTACCCAGAACAAGGGGAAACGGGGGGATGTTGCAAGCGTCCATCAACGTAAGGTGGAAAACGGGGGAAAGAGCACTGGAAAAGGAGTCAAGAGGCTTGAGTTCTGTTGCTGCCTCTGCCACTAACTCACCATGCATTCTATCTTTTCTCTCTTCCTCTGTTTCTCTCTTTCACATCTACAAAATAATGCAGCAGGTCTCAAACTTGCTCTGCATCATAATCATATGATTTTTTTAATTAAAAGACTTTATTTTTATTGATTATTATTGTTTTTGATTGACAAACTATAATTGTACACGTTTATGGGCTACAATGGGATGTTTTGATATATGTATTCAACGTGGAAGAACAAAATCAAGCTAACTAATATATTCAGCACCTCACCTACCTATCCTGTTTTATGGTGAGACATTTGAAATTTATTCTCTTAGTCATTTTGAAATACACATTATTATTAACTGTGGCACCCTGTTGTTGTGCAATAGATCTTAGAACCTATTTTTCCTGTCTATCTGAAACTTTTTACCCTTTGTATCCTTCAACAACTCCCCAGTCCTCCCTTCATCATCCCTCACCCCCCGCAGCCACTGGTAACCATTATTCTACTCTCTACTTGGACTAGCTCAACTTTCTTAGATTCCAGATATAAGTGAGATCATGTGGCATTTGTCTTTCTGTTCCTGGCTTATTTCTTTTTTTATTTTTATTTTTTTGTACATGAATAAGTTCTTTAGTAGGTGATTTCTGAGATTTTGGTGCACCCATCAACAGAGCAGTATACACTGTACGCAACCCACCTCCCACCCTTTCTCCCCAGTCCTCAAAGTTCATTGCAGCATCCTTATGACTTTGTGTCCTCATAGCTTAGCTCCCACTTATGAGTGAGAACATACGATGTTTGGTTTTTCATTCCTGAGTCTCTTCATTTAGAATAATGGTCTCCAATTCCATCCAGGCGGCTGCAAATGCCATTATTGCTTTCCTTTTTATGACTGAGTAGTATTCCATGATATCTATACCACATTTTCTTTATCCACTCGTTGATTGATGGGCATTTGGGCTAGTTCCATATTTTTGCAATTGCAAATTGTGCTGTTATAAACATGTGTGTGCAAGTATCTTTTTCATATAATGACCTCTTTTCCTCTAGATAGATACCCAGGAGTGGGATTTCTGGATCAAATGGTAGATCTACTTTTAGTTCTTTAAGGAATCTCTACACTGTCTTCCATAGTGTACTAGTTTACATTCCCACCAACAGTGTGAAAGCATTCCCTTTTCACTGCATCCATGACAACATCTATTATTTTTTGACTTTTTGATTATATGGGCCTGGCTTACTTCACTTAGGATAATATACTCTAGATTCATCCACGTTGTCACAAATAACAGAACTTAATTCTTTTTTAAGACTGAATTGTATTCCATTGTGTATATATACCACATTTTCTTTACCCATTCATTTGTTGATTAACACTTAGGTTGATTCCATATCTTGGCTTTGGGAATAATGTGGCAATGAACATTGCAGGGCACCTATCCCTTCAACATGCTGATTTCAGTTCCTTTGCATAAATACCCAGAAGCGGAATTACTAAGTCATATTATAGTTTTATTTTTAGATATTTGAGGAACTTCTATACTATATTCCATAATGGCTATACTAATTTACATTCCCACCAACAGTGTGTAAGTGTTCCCTTTTTTCCATATTCTCTCCAACAGTTGTTGCCTTTCATCTTTTTCATAAGATGTGTGAGGTGATATCTGATTGTGGTTTTAGTTTGCATTTTTCTGATGATTAGTGATGCTGAGCATTTTTTCATGCACCTATTGGCCATTTGTATGTCCTCTTTTGAGAAACGTCTCTTCAGTTCTTTCTGTTTTCTTGCTATTAAGTTCTGTTTCTTATATATTTTAGATATTAACCCCTTATCAGATGTATGGTTTGCAAATATTTTCTTCCATTCTCTGAATTGTCTCTTCACTTTGCTGATTGTTTCCTTTGCTGTGCAGAAGCTTTTATAGTTTAACATGGTCCCATTCATCTATTTTTGTTTTTGCAGTCTGTGATTTCAGAGTCATATCCAAAAAAATCATTGCCCAGACCCATGTCATGGAGCTTTTCCTTTTATATTTTCTTCCAGTAGCTTTACAGATCCAGGTCTTGTATTGAAGTCTTTCTCCCGTTCCCTCCAAGATGGCCAAATAAGAACAGCATTTGGCCTAGCCATCCAACTACTGGGTATACACCCAAAGGATTATAAATCATGCTGCTATAAAGACACATGCACACGTATGTTTATTGCGGCACTATTCACAATAGCAAAGACTTGGAACCAACCCAAATGTCCAACAATGATAGACTGGATTAAGAAAATGTGGCACATATACACCATGGAATACTATGCAGCCATAAAAAATGATGAGTTCATGTCCTTTGTAGGGACATGGATGAAATTGGAAACCATCATTCTCAGTAAACTATCGCAAGAACAAAAAACCAAACACCGCATATTCTCACTCATAGGTGGGAATTGAACAATGAGATCACTTGGACACAGGAAGGGGAATATCACACTCTGGGGACTGTGGTGGGGTCGGGGGAGGGGGGAGGGATAGCATTGGGAGATATACCTAATGCTAGATGACACGTTAGTGGGTGCAGCGCACCAGCATGGCACATGTATACATATGTAACTAACCTGCACAATGTGCACATGTACCCTAAAACTTAGAGTATAATAAAAAAAAAAAATTTAAAAAAAATAAAAAATAAATAAATAAATAAATAAAATGTGGCACATATACACCATGGAATACTATGCAGCCATAAAAAATGATGAGTTCATGTCCTTTGTAGGGACATGGATGAAACTGGAAATGATCATTTTCAGCAGACTATCGCAAGGACAAAAAACCTAACATCGCATGTTCTCACTCATAGGTGGGAATTGAACAATGAAAACCCATGGACACAGGAAGGGGAACATCACACTCCGGGGACTGTTGTGGGGTCGGGGGAGGGAGGAGGGATAGCATTAGGAGATATATCTAATGCTAAATGACGAGTTAATGGGTGCAGCACACCAACATGGCACATGTATACATATGTAACAAACCTGCACATTGTGCACATGTACCCTAAAACTTAAAGTACAATAATAATGAAATAAAAATAAAAAATTAAAAAAATTAAAAAATAAAAAAATAAAAAGAACAGCTCCAGTCTACAGTTCCCAACGTGAGCAACGCAGAAGACAGGTGATTTCTGCATTTCCAACTGAGGTACCAGGTTCATCTCACTGGGACTTGCTGGACAGCCCACGGAGTGTGAGCCAAAGCAGGGCGGGGCATCATCTCACCTGGGAAGTGCAAGGGGTCGGGGAATTCCCTTTCTGAGCTAAGGGAAGCCGTGAGAGATGGTACCTGGAAAATCAGGACACTTCCACCCTAATACTGCACTTTTCCAACAGTCTTAGCAAACGGCACACCAGGAGATGATATCCCACGCCTGGCTCAGAGGGTCCCATGCCCACGGAGCCTTGCTCACTGCTAGCACAGCAGTCTGAGATCAAACTGCAAGGTGGCAGCGAGGCTGGGGGAGGGGCGTCTGCCATTGCTGAGGCTTGACTAGGTAAACAAAGCAGCTGGGAAGCTCGAACTGGGTGGAGCCCACCGCAGCTCAGTGAGGCCTGCCTGCCTCTGTAGACTCCACCTCTGGGGGCAGGGCATAGCTGAACAAAAGGCAGCAGAAACTTCTGCAGCCTTAAACGTCCCTGTCTGACAGTTTTGAAGAGAGTAGTGGTTCTCCCAGCACGGAGTTTGAGATCTGAGAACGGACAGACTGCCTCCTCAAGTGGGTCCCTGACCCTCGAGTAGCCTAACTGGGAGACACCTCCCAGTAGGGGCCGACTGACACCTCATACAGCTGGGTGCCCCTCTGAGATGAAGCTTCCAGAGGAAGGATCAGGCAGCAACATTTGCTATTCTGCAATATTTGCTGTTCTGCAGCCTCCGCTGGTGATACCCAGGCAAAGAGCATCTGGAGTGGACCTCCAGCAAACTCCAACAGACCTGCAGCTGAGGGTCCTGACTGTTAGAAGGAAAACTAACAAACAGAAAGGAATAGCATCAGCATCAACAAAAAGGACATCCACACCAAAACCCCATCTGTAGGTCACCATCATCAAAGACCAAAGGTAGATAACACCACAAAGATGGGGAGAAACCAGAGCAGAAAAGCTGAAAATTCTAAAAATCAGAGCATCTCTTCTCCTCCAAAGGAACACAGCTCCTTGCCAGCAATGGAATAAAGCTGGACAGAGAATGACTTTGACGAGTTGACAGAAGTAGGCTTCAAAAGATCAGTAATAACAAATTTCTCCAAGCTAAAGGAGGATGTTCGAACCCATTGCAAAGAAGCTAAAAACCTTGAGAAAAGATTAGATGAATGGCTAACTAAAATAAACAGCATAGAGAAGACCTTAAATGACCTGATGCAGCTGAAAAACACGGCATGAGAACTACGTGATGCATGCACAAGCTTCAGTAGCCAATACAATCATGTGAAGAAAGGGTATCAGTGATTGAAGATCAAATGAATGAAATGAAGTGAGAAGAGAAGTTTAGAGAAAAAAGAGTTAAAAGAAACTCACAAAGCCTCCAATATGGGACTATGTGAAAAGACCAAATCTACATCTGATTGGTGTACCTGAAAGTGACGGGGAAAATGGAACCAAGTTGGAAAACACTCTTCTGGATATTTTCCAGGAGAACTTCCCCAATCTAGCAAGGCAGGCCAACATTCAGATTCAGAAAATACAGAGAACACCACAAAGATACTCCTCAGGAAGAGCAACTCCAAGACACATAATTGTCAGATTCACCAAGGTTGAAATGAAGGAAAAAATGTTAAGGGCAGACAGAGAGAAAGGTCGGGCTACCCACAAAAGGAAGCCCAACAGACTAACAGTGGATCTCTCCGCAGAAACTCTACAAGCCAGAAGAGAGTGGGGGCCAATATTCAACATTCTTAAAGAAAAGGATTTTCAGCCCAGAATTTCATATCCAGTCAAACTAAGCTTCCTAAGTGAAGGAAGTCTTTTCAATCCATTTTGAGTTCATGTTTTTACATGGTGTAAGATAAGAATCTAATTTCACTCTTTTGCATGTGGATATTTAGATTTTCCAATACCTTTAATTAAAGAGTCTGTCCTTTCTTCACTGTGTGTCCTTGGCACCTTTGTCAGAAATCAATTGACTGTAAATTCATTGCTTTATTTCTGGGTTTTCCATCTTGGTCCATTGGTTGATGTGTCTGCTTTTACACCAGTGACATACTGTGTTGATGACAATCACTTTAGAATATGTTTTGAAGTCAGAGAGTGTGATGCCTCCAGCTTCGTTTTGTTTTTGTTTCTGTTTGTTTGTTTTTGCTCAGGATTGCTTTGGCTATTCAGGCTCTTTTGTGGTTCCACAAGAATTTTTTTTTCTATTTCTGTGAAGAATGTCATTGGTATTCTGATATGGATTGCATTGATTATGTAGATTGCTTCGGATAGTATAGTCATTTTGACAATATTATTTTAATACATGAGCATAGGATGCATTTTCATTTGTCTTCTTCAATTTCTTTCAGTAATGTTTCACAGGTTTTTTGTAGAGGTCTTTCATCTCTTTTCTTTCGTTAAATTTTTTCCTAGATGTTTTTCTTTTTTCATAGTTATTGTAAATGAGATTGCCTTCTTGATTTCTTCTTCAGCTATTTTGTTGTTCATATGTAGAAATACTACTGATTTTTATATTAATTTTGTATCCTGCAACTTTACTGAATTCATTTATCAGTTCTAAGAGTTCTTTGTTGGAGTCTTAAGGATTTTCCATACATAAAATTATGTTATCTGCAAAGAGGGACAATTGACTTTCTCTTTTCCAATTTGGATGCCTTTTATTTCTTTCTCTTGATCCCACATGATCATCATGTATTATCTTTTTGATGTGTTGTTGGATTTGGATTGCTTATATTTTGTTAAGGTTTTTACATCGATGTTCATCAGGAATACTGGCCTGTAAATTTCCTTATTTCTTTTGTCATTGTCTGATTTTGGTATCAGGGTAATGCTGACCTTATATAATGATATAGAAAGAATTCTCTATTTTTCAATTTTTTGAAATAGTTTGAGAATTGGTGTTATGTTTTCTTTATAAGTTTGGTAGAATTCAGCAGTAAAGCCATCTGGTTGTGGGCTTTTCTTTGTGGGGAGACTTTTTATTATGATTCAATCTTGTTGTTCATTATTAGTCTATTCAGGCTGTACATGTCTAGGAATTTGTCCATTTACTCTAGGTTTTCCAATTTGTTATCATATAGTTGTTTATAATAGTCTCTACTGATTGTGGGTATTTCTGTGGTATCAGTTGTAATGTCTCATTTCTGATTTTGTGTCATCTCTTTTTTCTTGTTTAGTCTAACACTTTATGAATTTTGTTTATACTTTCAAAAAACAACTTTGCATTTTGATGATCCTTTGTAAATTTTTTTTCTATTCCATTTAGTTCTGCTCTGATCTTTATTACTTTGTTCCTTCTACTAATTTTGGGTTTGGTTTGTTCTTACTTTTCGAGTTCCTTGATGTTCATCATTAGGTTGTTTATTTGAAATTTTTCTACTTTTCTGATGTAGGCATTTATTACTATAAACTTGCCTCTTAGCACTGCTTTTGCTGTACCCACTAGGTTTTGATATGTTGTTTCCATTTCATTTGTCTCAAGAATTTTCCCTCTTAATTCTTTCATTGATCCAATGGTCATTCAGGATCAGGTTGCTTAATTTCCATGTATTTGTAAGTGTCCAAAGTTCTCTTGTTATTGATTTCTAGGTTTTTTTCTACTGTGGTCTGAGAAGATATTGGGTATGATTTTGATTTTTTTTAATTTGTTCAACTTGTTTTGTGGCCTAACATATAGTCCATCCTGGAGAGTATTTCATGTGCTGATGAGAATAATGTGTTTTCTGCAGCTGTTAGATAAAATATTCTGTAAATGTCTGTTATGTCCCTTTGGTCTATAGTGCAGATTAAGTTCAATGTCCAGTGTTGAAAGTGGAGTGCTGAAGTTCCCAACTATTATTGTTTTGGGTCTATTTCTCTCTTTATCTTGAATAATATTTGCTTTATATATCTGGGTGCTCTGTTGTTAGTTGTATATATATTTACAAATTGTAATATCCTCTTGCTGAATTGATCTCTTTATTGTTACATAATTACCTTCTTTGTCTCTTTTTGGTTTTTGACTTAAAGGCTATGTTGTCTGACATAAGTATACCTACTCCTGCATGCTTTTGGTTCCATTTGCATGGCATTTTTTTTTTCATTCCTTTACTTTCAGCCTATGTGTGTCTTTACAGGTGAGGTGGGTTTCTGGTGGGCAGCATATAGTTGGGTCTTGTTTCTTAATTCATCTTTTAATTAGGGAATTTAAACCATTTATATTTAGTTATTACTGATACGTGATGATTTACTCCTGTTATTTTGTTAATTGCTTTCTGATTATTTTATATATGCTTCATTTCTTTCTTTCTCCTTTATGATTTGGTGGGTTTCATAGTGATAACATTTGACTCCTTTCTCTTTCTCATTTGTGTCTCTGCTCTACCAGTGAGTTTTATATGTTTGTGTTTTATGATGGTGAATATCATGCAATTCCAGATATAGGACTCTCTTAAGCATTTCTGATAAGGTCAGTCTAGTGGTGATGAATTCCCTTAGTTTTTGCTTATCTGAGAAAAACTTTATTTCTCTTTGCTTTTTAAAAAGGGCTTTGCTTGTTAGTATTCTTGCCAGACATTTTTTTTCTTTCAGCACTTTGAATATATTATCCAATTCTCCCCTGGCCTGTAAGGTTTCTGCCAAGAAATCCACTATTATCTTGATGAGGATACCCTTATATGTGACTGGACAGTTTTCTTCCTGTTTTTAGAATTCCTTTTTTGTTTGTTAGTTTGACTTTTGACAGCTTAACTTTTGAGTTTTTACTACAATATGCCTGAGAGGAGATCTTTTTGGATTGCATCTATGTGGAAATATTTAAGCTTCCTGTATCTGCATGCCTATATTTCTTTCAAGACTTGAGAATTTTTCAACTATTATTTCATTAAATATGTTTTCTATGCCTTTGCCCATCTCTTCTCTTCTGAAAACCCCCAGATTCAAATATTTGGTTACTTTCTGGTGTTTCATATGTCACATAGGCTTTCTTCATTCTTTTTTATCTTTGGATGACCAAGTTATTTCAAAAGACCTGTCTTCAAGTTCAGAAATTTTTTCTGGCTGGGTACAGTGGCTCATGCCTATAATCCCAGCACTTTGAAAGGCCAAGATGGTAGAATTGCTTGAAGCCAGGAGCTTGAGAAGATCCTGGACAACAAAGCAAAATCCCATCTCCACAAACAATAAAAAGAAATTAGCCAGCCTGTAGTACCCACTACTTGAGAGGCTGAGGCAGGAGGATCACTTGAACCCAGGAATTCGAGGCTGCAGTGTGCTATGATCATGCCACTTCACTGTAGCCTAGGTGTAAAGGAATAAATTTTTTCTTCTGTTTGATCTAGTCTATTGCTGAAAGGCAATTTTATTTTTTATTTAATTCACTGAATTATTCAGTTCCAGGATTTCTGTTTGGTTCTCTTTTATGATATCTATCTCTTTGTTGAATTTCTCATTCAAATCATGAATTGCTTTATTCTTTGTATTGCTTATCTTATTCACTTGTATCTCACTAAGTTTCTTCAATAACATTATTTTGAATTATTTTTCATGCATTTCATAGAATTATTTTTCTTTAGACTCTGTTATTGGAAAATCGTGTTCCTTTGGAGGTGTCATGTTTCCTTGCTTTTTCATATTTCCTGTGTATTTACTTTGATAGCTGCACATCTAGTATTACAATTGCTCTTCCAATTTGTATGGATTAGCTTTTATAGAAAAATATTTTTTCTGTAGATATGTCTATAGTGTTGGCTGGGGAGAGTGTTTTGGCTTTGCCTCCGGGTGGGTGCAGTAGTATAATCTCCATATGATTTTTTTGGCTGTTATCAGCATCAATGATATCTGTGAGTTCCTCAGTGGCTTGGGTTGTGGTTGTTAGTAAAGACTTTGGTGAGGTTTTGCTGGGGACAGGAATGCCAGGTGGGCTAGTCCTCAGGAACCAGTGGTGGCAGCAGGAGGCCAGGCATGCTGGTCCACAGGCTCCCAGATGGCATAAGTGGGCACCAGTGGTAGTTCTGGGTGGGCCAGTCCTTAGGCCTCCAGGAGGTGTGCATAGGTGCCAGTGGTGTCAGCAGCAAGCCAGATGGGCAGGTCCTTGGGCCCTTGGGTGGTGTGCTTACCGTAGTGTGCTCAGGATTGCTGGTGACAGTGGCAGTAGCAGCAACAGGCCAACCCTCAGGCCCCTGAGCAGCATATGCAGGCATCAGTGGTGTTTGTGGAGGGCTGGGCAGAGCAATACTCAGGCCCATGGCTGGCTCACACAGGTAGATGCCCGCAGCAGTGGCGGTAGATTGCATGGGTTGGTCCTCAGGACTTCAGGAGGCACATGTGGGCACTGGCAGTGGGCCAGGCAGACCCACTTTTATGCCCCTGGATGTTACAAATGGGCACTAGTAGCAGCAGTAGAACAGGCCTGTCCCCAGATCTCTGAAGATGTACATGGGCACTGGTGGTGATGGGCAGGGTGGGTTGATCCCAGACCCCTGGACGTCACATGCAGGTGCTGACATTGGTGGCCATGGTCAGAGTGAACCTGTCCTCTGGCTCCTGGATGGTGCAGGTGGGCTCCAGCAGCAACAGGCAAGGCAGATACATCTCCAGCCCCCCAAACAACATGTACAGATGTCAGCAGTGGTGGCACTGAGTGGAGCAAGCCTGTCCTCAGGCCCCAGATGACATGCACAAGCACTGGTAATGAGGGAGCCAGGCAGAGTAGGCCGGTTCTCAGGCCCCTCAATGGTGCAGGCAGTTGTCGGTGGCTGCGGGCAGGATGTGTCATTCCTCAGGTACCCAGATGACATGCGTGGATGCTTGCAGGGGTGGCAATGGGTGAGACAGGCTGGTTCCCATGCCCCTTGAAGTTGAGTGCAGGTATACATTGGCTCTGCCACTGGAAGGAGCAGGATTCCTGTCTATGGCAATAGCCCTCAGGCTCTGGAGAGCACATGGCTTGACTTCTTTTGTCTCGGGGGCAGCCTCACTGCTGCACTGCACCGCTTATTCTCCAGGGTATGGGAGAACATATGGGCTAAATTGCTAGGTATCAGGCTGCATCACTGGGTTCAGGTGGCATCAAGATGCTGCAAACTTCTGTGTGGACATGAGGGGGTCTCAATGGGACTCCAGGGATGTGGAGATGAATGGGGCTGTAAAATGCAGGATGTAGTCTCTTGGGGACTAGAATGTCAAAATGGCACTTTGCTGCAACTGCTTGGGTCTTGGGGTGTGTGTGGGACCCAGCACTAACTTGCTCTATGGAACAATATCGGTTCATGGACTCCAGGGAGCTCCCTGTACTAGTCTCAGGGCCTGCAAGGGCCAAGGGGCTCTCTCATGGCTAGGATTGCAGGAGTTTGCAATGGCAATATAGACTGCTGGGATCTCTCACTTACCTTTTCCCCAACAATGGAGAGTACCTCCTGGCTCTGAGCCAATCCTGGCAGGGTCAGCTGCTTTGCCTCCATTTTGTTCCCTGCCTAAGATATTCCCTGTCACTTCCCTGCTGAATTCCAGTGTTCTCTCTTAGAAGCTGTATTTCACATGTTTATTTGAGATCTTATTTTTTATAAGGGCATTTATTGCTATCAGTTTCCCTCTTAGGACTACTTTTGTTGCATCCCATAAGTTTTGGTGTACTGTATTTTCATTTTTGTTTATCTCAAGTATTTTTTATTTCATTTTTGATATCTTCTGTGATCCATTGATTCTGTAGAAGTATGTTATTTAATTTCCACATGTGTGTATATTCCAAGATTTCTCCTGTTATTGATTTCCAGTTTTATGTTATTGTGATTTGAAAATATGCTTGATATGATTTCAGTCCTCTTAAATTTGTTAAGATTTGTTTTGTGGCCTAAAATATGATCTATCCTGGAGGATGTTCTGTGTACGCTTAAGAAGAATGTGTATTCTGCTGCTGTTGGATAGAATGTTCTGTGTATGTCTTTCAGGTCCATTTGGTCTGAAGTGTAATTCAAGTTCAATGTTTCCTTATTGACTTTATGTCTAGATGATCTGTCCATTGGTGAAAGTGGGGTACTGTAATCCCTACTACTATAGTATTGCAGTCTACCTCTCCCTTCAGATCACTTAATAATTACTTTATGTATTTAGATGCTTCAATATCAGGTTCATATACATTTACAATTGTAACAACTGTAACAATAACAATTATAAATTGGTAAATTAACCCCTTTATCATTATGTAATGACCTTCTTTGTCTCTTTTTAGAGTTTTTTACTTAAAGTCCATTTTGTGAAATATAAGTACAGCTAAACCCACTCTCTTTTGGTTTCCATTTGCATGGAACATCTTTTGCCATCCCTTCACTTTCAGTCTGTGTCTCCTCACTAGTAAAATGAATCTCTTGTAGGTAGCATATGAACTGGATTTTGTTTTTTTTTTTATCCATTCAGCTACTTTGTCTTTTTATTGGATAATTTAATCCATTTGCATCCAAGGTAATTACTGATAGGTAAAGATTTATTATTGACATTTTATAATTTGGTTTCTGATCATTTTGTAGGCCCTTTGCTTCTTTTTCTCTTTTTTTGTCTTCCTTTGTGGTTTGATGGTTTTCTGTGGTGGTATGTTTTGAATCCTTCCTTTTCATGTTTTCTTTAACTTCTATAGGTTTTTGCTTTGTGGTTACCATGAGGCTTACATAAAATATTTTATCCTTAAAACAGGCTTTAAACTGATAACAATTTGCCTTTAATCACATACAAAAACTCTGCACTTTCATTCCTTCCTTCCCATGTTTTCTGATTTTGATGTAAACTTAAAATTTGTGTCCTTTAACAATATACTGTAGCTGCAGTTGTTTTTAATAGTTTTGTCTCTTAACCCTCCTAGTAGTAATAAGATTGCTTCACACACCACCTTAACAGTATTAGAGAATTCTGAGTGGGACTATATATTACTTATACCATTTATTTTTTCACTTTTACATGTTTCCTTTGTTTTTGTTTGTCTGAGAAAGCTTTCATTTCTCCCTCATTTCTGAAGGACAGCTTTGCCAGGTAAAGCATTCTTGGTTAGCAGGTTTTTTGTTTTTTTTTCCTTCAGTACTTTGAATCTATCATCCCACTCTCTCCTGGCCTGCAGTTGCTGCTGAAGAGTTTACTGAAAGCCAAATGGGGGGTCCCTTGAATTTGACATGTTTCTTATATCTCACTGCTTCAGTATTCTTTTTTTGTCTTTGATTTTTGACAATTTGATTATCAAAAATGTGTCTTGTTGAACTCCTCTTTGGGTTGAATTTCACTGATGACCTATGAGCTTCTTGTACCTGAATGTTGTCATCTTTCCCCAGATTTGAAACGTTTTTCTTAGATGTGCTTAAATATGTTTTCCTTATACATGCATATGCATTTCCTTAAATCTGCTTTCTAGGGCTTTTTCTCTCTATTCTCCTTCAGGAATTTCTATTACATAAAGGTGAGTCCACTTGATGGTGTCCCATAATTACTACAAGCCTTTGTTTTATTTTTTTTCTCTTTTTGCTCCTCTGATTGGCTAATTTTAAGTGTCTTATTTTAGAGCTAACTGATTCTTCTGCCCAATCAAGTCTGCAGTTGATGCTTTCTATTGAGTTTTTCAGTTCATTTATTGTATTCTTTATGTCTAGGATGTTTATATGGTTAGGAGTTTTCTGTTTCTATTTCTTCATCAAACTTCTCATTTTGTTCATGAATTGTTTTTCAATTTTTATTTAATTTTCAATTTATATTTTCTTGGAGGTCCTGAAACTTCTTTAAGAGGGTTATTCTGGGGAGGAGCCAAGACGGCCGAAGAGGAACAGCTCCGGTCTACAGCTCCCAGTGTGAGCGACACAGAAGACGGGTGATTTCTGCATTTCCGTCTGAAGTACCGGGTTCATCTCACTAGGGAGTGCCAGACAGTGGGCGCAGGTCAGTGGGTGAGCGCACCGTGCACGAGCCGAAGCAGGGCGAGGCATTGCCTCGCTTGGGAAGTGCAAGGGGTCAGGGAGTTCCCTTTCCTAGTCAAAGAAAGTGGTGACAGATGGCACCTGGAAAATCGGGTCACTCCCACCTGAATACTGCACTTTTCCGACGGGCTTAAAAAACGGTGCACCAGGACATTATATCCTGCACGTGGCTTGGAGGGTCCTACGCCCACGGAGTCTCGCTGATTGCTAGCACAGCAGTCTGAGATCAAACTGCAAGGCGGCAGCGAGGCTGGGGGAGGGGCGCCCGCCATTGCCCAGGCTTGCTTAGGTAAACAAAGCAGCCAGGAAGCTCCATGGGTGGAGCCCACCACAGCTCAAGGAGGCCTGCCTGCCTCTGTAGGCTCCACCTCTGGGGGCAGGGCACAGACAAACAAAAAGACAGCAGTAACCTCTGCAGACTTAAATGTCCCTGTCTGACAGCTTTGAAGAGAGCAGTGGTTCTCCCAGCACACAGCTGGAGATCTGAGAACAGGCAGACTGCCTCCTCAAGTGGGTCCCTGACCCCTGAGCCCCGAGTAGCCTAACTGGGAGGCACCCCCCAGCAGGGGCACACTGACACCTCACACGGCAGGGTATTCCAACAGACCTGCAGCTGAGGGTTCTGTCTGTTAGAAGGAAAACTAACAAACAGAAAGGACATCCACACCAAAAACCCATCTGTACATCACCATCATCAAAGACCAAAAGTAGATAAAACCACAAAGATGGGGAAAAAAAAAGGCAGAAAAACTGGAAATTCTAAAAAGCAGAGCGCCTCTCCTCCTCCAAAGGAACGCAGTTCCTCACCAGCAACGGAACAAAGCTGGACGGAGAATGACTTTGACGAGCTGAGAGAAGAAGGCTTCAGACGATCAAATTACTCCGAGCTATGGGAGGAAATTCAAACCAAAGGCAAAGAAGTTGAAAACTTTGAAAAAATTTAGAAGAATGTATAACTAGAATAACCAATACAGAGAAGTGCTTAAAGATGCTGATGGAGCTGAAAACCAAGCCTCGAGAACTACGTGAAGAATGCAGAAGCCTCAGGAGCCAATGCAATCAACTGGAAGAAAGGGTATCAGCGATGGAAGATGAAATGAATGAAATGAAGCGAGAAGGGAAGTTTAGAGGAAAAAAGAATAAAAAGAAATGAGCAAAGCCTCCAAGAAATATGGGACTATGTGAAAAGACCAAATCTATGTCTGCTTGGTGTACCTGAAAGTGATGGGGAGAATGGAACCAAGTTGGAAAACACTCTGCAGGATATTATCCAGGAGAACTTCCCCAATCTAGCAAGGCAGGCCAACATTCAGATTCAGGAAATACAGAGAACGCCACAAAGATACTCCTCAAGAAGAGCAACTCCAAGACACATAATTGTCAGCTTCACCAAAGTTGAAATGAAGGAAAAAATGTTAAGGGCAGCCAGAGAGAAAGGTCGGGTTACCCACAAGGGGAAGCCCATCAGAATAACAGCTGATCTCTCGGCATAAACTCCACAAGCCAGAAGAGATTGGGTGCCAATATTCAACATTCTTAAGGAAAAGAATTTTCAACCCAGAATTTCATATCCAGCCAAACTAAGCTTCATAAGTGAAGGAGAAATAAAATCCTTTACAGACAAGCAAATGCTGAGAGATTTTGTCACCACCAGGCCTGCCCTAAAAGAGCTCCTGAAGGAAGCACTAAACATGGAAAGGAACAACCGGTACCAGCCGCTGCAAAATCATGCCAAAATGTAAAGACCATCGAGACTAGGAAGAAACTGCATCAGCTAACAAGGAAAATAACCAGCTAACATCATAATGACAGGATGAAATTCACACATAACAATATTAACTTTAAATGTAAATGGACTAAATGCTCCAATTAAAAGACACAGACTGGCAAATTGGATAAAGAGTCAAGACCCATCAGTGTGCTGTATTCAGGAAACCCATCTCATGTGCAGAGACACACATAGGCTCAAAATAAAAGGATGGAAGAAGACCTACCAAGCAAATGGAAAACAAAAAAAGGCAGGGATTGCAATCCTAGTCTCTGATAAAACAGACTTTAAACCAACAAAGATCAAAAGAGACAAAGAAGGCCATTACGTAATGGTAAAGGGATCAATTCTACAAGAACAGCTAACTATCCTAAATATACATGCACCCGATACAGGGGCACCCAGATTCATAAAGCAAGTCCTGAGTGACCTACAAAGACACTTAGACTCCCACACATTAATAATGGGAGACTTTAACACCCCACTGTCAACATTAGACAGATCCACGAGACAGAAAGTTAACAAGCATATCCAGGAATTGAGCTCAGCTCTGCACCAAGCCGACCTAATAGACATCTACAGAACTCTCCACCCCAAATCAACAGAATATACATTTTTTTCACCACCACACCACACCTATTCCAAAATTGACCACATACTTGGAAGTAAAGCTCTCTTCAGCAAATGTAAAAGAACAGAAATTATAACAAACTATCTCTCAGACCACAGTGCAATCAAACTAGAACTCAGGATTAAGAATCTCACTCAAAACCGCTCAAATACATGGAAACTGAACAACCTGCTCCTGAATGACTACTGGGTACATAACGAAATGAAAGCAGAAATAAAGATGCTCTTTGAAACCAACGAGAACAAAGACACAACATACCAGAATCTCTGGGACACATTCAAAGCGTGTGTAGAGGGAAATTTATAGCACTAAATGCCCACAAGAGAAAGCAGGAAAGATCCAAAATTGACACCCTAACATCACAATTAAAAGAGCTAGAGAACCAAGAGCAAACACATTCAAAAGCTAGCAGAAGGCAAGAAATAACTAAAATCAGAGCAGAACTGAAGGAAATAGAGACACAAAACACCCTTCAAAAAATTAACGAATCTAGGAGCTGGTTTTTTGAAAGAATCAACAAAATTAATAGACCGCTAGCAAGACTAATAAAGAAGAAAAGAGAGAAGAATCAAATAGACGCAATAAAAATGATACAGGGGATATCACCACCGATCCTACAGAAATACAAACTACCATCAGAGAATACTACAAACACCTCTATGCAAATAAACTAGAAAATCTAGAAGAAATGGATAAATTCCTCGACACATACACTCTCCCAAGACTAAACCAGGAAGAAGTTGAATCTCTGAATAGACCAATAACAGGAGCTGAAATTGTGGCAATAATCAATAGCTTACCAACCAAAAAGAGTCCAGGACCAGATGGATTCACAGCCGAATTCTACCAGAGGTACACGGAGGAACTGGTACTATTCCTTATGAAACTATTCCAATCAACAGAAAAAGAGGGAATCCTCCCTAACTCATTTTATGAGGCCAGCATCATCCTGATACCAAATCCTGGCAGAGACACAACCAAAAAAGAGAATTTTAGACCAATATCCTTGATGAACATTGAGGCAAAAATCCTCAATAAAATACTGGCAAACCGAAACCAGCAGCACAGCAAAAACTTATCCACCATGATCAAGTAGGCTTCATCCCTGGGATGCAACGCTGGTTCAATATACAAAAATCAATCAATGTAATCCAGCATATAAACAGAACCAAAGACAAAAACCACATGATTATCTCAATAGATGCAGAAAAGGCCTTTGACAAAATTCAACAACCCTTCATGCTAAAAACTCTCAATAAATTAGGTATTGATGGGACGTATCTGAAAATAATAAGAGCTATCTATGACAAACCCACAGCCAATATCATACTGAATGGGCAAAAACTGGAAGCATTCCCTTTGAAAACTGGCACAAGACAGGGATGCCCTCTCTCACCACTCCTATTCAACATAGTGTTGGAAGTTCTGGCCAGGGTAATTAGGCAGGAGAAGGAAATAAAGGGTATTCAACTTGGAAAAGAGGAAGTCAAATTGTCCCTGTTTGCAGACGACATGATTGTATATCTAGAAAACCCCATTGTCTCAGCCCAAAATCTCCTTAAGCTCATAAGCAACTTCAGCAAAGTCTGAGGATACAAAATCAACGTACAAAAATCACAAGCATTCTTATACACCAACAACAGACAGAGAGCCAAATCATGAGTGAACTCCCATTCACAGTTGCTTCAAAGAAAATAAAATACCTAGGAATCCAACTTACAAGGGATGTGAAGGACCTCTTCAAGGAGAACTACAAACCACTGCTCAATGAAATAAAAGAGGATACAAACAAATGGAAGAACATTCCATGCTCATGGGTAGGAAGACTCAATATCGTGAAAATGGCCTTACTGCCCAAGGTAATTTACAGATTCAACGCCATCCCCATCAAGCTACCAATGACTTTCTTCACAGAATTGGAAAAACTACTTTAAAGTTCATATGGAACCAAAAAAGAGCCCGCATCGCCAAGTCAATCCTAAGCCAAAAGAACAAAGCTGGAGGCATCACACTACCTGACTTCAAACTATACTACAAGGCTACAGTAACCAAAACAGCATGGTACTGGTACCAAAACAGAGATATAGATCAATGGAACAGAACAGAGCCCTCAGAAATAACACTGCATATCTACAACTATCTGATCTTTGACAAACCTGAGAAAAACAAGCAATGGAGAAAGGATTCCCTATTTAATAAATGGTGCTGGGAAAACTGGCTAGCCATATGTAGAAAGCTGAAACTGGATCCCTTCCTTACACCTTATACAAAAATCAATTCAAGATGGATTAAAGACTTAAATGTTAGACCTGAAACCATAAAAACCCTAGAAGAAAACCCAGGCATTACCATTCAGGACATAGGCATGGGCAAGGACTTCATGTCTAAAACACCAAAAGCAATGGCAACAAAAGCCAAAATTGACAAATGGGATCTAATTAAACTAAAGAGCTTCTGCACAGCAAAAGAAACTACCATCAGAGTGAACAGGCAACCTACAAAATGGGAGAAAATTTTCACAACCTACTCATCTGACAAAGGGCTAATATCCAGAGTCTACAATGAACTCAAACAGATTTACAAGAAAAAAACAAACAACCCCATCAAAAAGTGGGCAAAGGACATGAACAGACACTTCTCAAAAGAAGACATTTATGCAGCCAAAAAACACATGAAAAAATGCTCACCATCACTGGCCATCAGAGAAATGCAAATCAAAACCACAATGAGATACCATCTCACACCAGTTAGAATGGCAATCATTAAAAAGTCAGGAAACAATAGGTGCTGGAGAGGATGTGGAGAAATAGGAACACTTTCAGACTGTTGGTGGGACTGTAAACTAGTTCAACCATTGTGGAAGTCGGTGTGGCAATTCCTCAGGGATCTAGAGCTAGAAATACCATTTGACCCAGCCATCCCATTACTGGGTATATACCCAAAGGATTATAAATCATGCTGCTGTAAAGACACATGCACAGGTATGTTTATTGCAGCATTATTCACAATAGCAAAGACTTGCAACCAACCCAAATGTCCAACAATGATAGACTGGATTAAGAAAATGTGGCACATATACACCATGGAATACTATGCAGCCATAAAAAAGGATGAGGTCATGTCCTTTGTAGGGACATGGATGAAATTGGAAATCATCATTCTCAGTAAACTATCACAAGAACAAAAAACCAAACACCTTATATTCTCACTCATAGGTGGGAACTGAACAATGAGAACACATGGACACAGGAAGGGGAACATCACTCTCTGGGGACTGTTGTGGGTTGGGGGGAGTGGGGAGGGATAGCATTGGGAGATATACCTAATGCTATATGACGAGTTAGTGGGTGCAGTGCACCAGCATGGCACATGTATACATATGTAACTAACCTGCACATTGTGCCCATGTACCCTAAAACTTAAAGTATAATAATAAAAAAAAAGATTATTTATCACAGGAAAAAAAAAGACGGTTATTCTGAATTCTTTGTCAGTAATTTCATAGATCTCCATTTATTCTGGGTCTTTCATTGGAGCCTTATTAGTTTCTTTTGGTAATGTCATATTTCCCTGATTTTTCATAATCCCTGTATCTTTACATTAATGCCTGCACATTTGAGGATATGACCACCTCTTGGCCTTTGCAAGTGTGCTTTAGTGGTGACATACCTTTAGTATTTAGTCTGCCCTGACATTCTAAATAAGCCACTGGTAGCAATCCTGAACAGTCAGACTTTGATGTCAGGTTCTCTAGTTGGACTGGGTCAGTTTCTATATTCTGAGCTTGAATAAACTAGTTGTGCTCCATGGTTTGGTGGAACCACTGACTTGACTCTGCCATTACGTGAAGCTGATAACTGGACTCTGTGAACATCTCAAATCAGGCAGGCTGTCTTCTCCGTCTAGACAGTACTATTGTTTGGAATCCATAGTTGGCTATGTCCTGGGCTTTGAGACTGAGTGAGGTTTCTGAAATTGCTGCTCAGAGACATGGGAGGGCAGGCCAGAGGCTATGCTCCACAAATACGTGTGGACTTGGGCTTATATCCCAGCCTAGGATAAGCTTAAGTAGAGCACCAAGTTTGATGGAGTTGCCACTCATCAGCTGAGGTTGGATAGGGCCAGATGTTCCCTCTGCAGACCTGAAGTTGCCTCCCAGTCTAGGGAAGACTTAATGAGAGCACCAGGACTTATTTGGATTACCTCTATGCTACCAGGGCTGGGCAGGGCGAAGTGCTCCCTCTGAGGGTAATCTCTAACCTGCAGTTGCCTCTTGACCTGGGGAAGCCTTAACAAGAGCACCTGAGCTGTATGGGGAAGCTGGCTAGGTATTCAAGGCCAGAAGACCAAAGGACCGTGTTTCCTACAGCCTGATTTTGTTGGCTAGTTTGTCTGGTGTGGTACCTTCAGCTGCCAAAATGCAAAGCAACTGCCAAGATCTGCACTGACCACTGTGAAGCCCACCCTTGTTCTTTGTTTCTCACTGACCATAGGTGGTCCAGCCTGGCTGGTACTCCCAATGTTTCCTGTAGGATAAGACAAGACTGAGCCTCCACTAAAAAAAAGGTCTCAGAATAGTGGAAAGCTGAATGTCTACCTCCAGCTCACTACTCCCACTGTAAAAACCTTGGGTCTGGAGGAATTCTCTGTGTGTGGCCCTGTGCCAGCTTGAAGCAGGGGCAATGCAGTCAAAGAGAGCCATTCCTCTTACCATTTAACATGGCTTCTCTCAGATTTATAGTTCAAGAGGCTGTCTCAGCCTCACTCTCGAGTTCTAGGGTATTCGCAATGATATTCTTGCCAGTGGATAGTTGCTAGTGGAATTTATGTTGTGGAGAGTGAAGCTAGAGAACACCTATTCTATTCTGTCATCTTGCTGATGAATAGATTTTTATCTTTTAAAGCAATTTTAGGTTCACAGTCAGGTTTAGTGGAAAGTACAGAGAGTTCCCACATAGCTCCTGCAGACACTCCCCTACCATCAACACGCTGCACTAATGTGGTACATTTGTTACCACCGATGAACCAACACTGACGTATTTCTATCAACCTAAGTCCATAGTTAATATTAGAGTTCACTCTTTCTGTTGTACATTCTGTGGGTTTTGGGAAATGTACAATGGCACAAATCTATCATTATGGTAACATACAGAGTATTTTCACTGTCCTAAAAATCCTCTGTGCTCCACCTATTCATTCCTGCCTCCACCCAAACCCCTGGAAACCACTGATCTTTTTATTGTCTCCATTGTTGAATGTCACATAGTTGAATGTCACATAGTTGAAAATGTACAGTATGTAGTCTTTTCAGATTGACTTCTTTCAGTTGGCAAAATGCACTTAAAGTTCCTCCAGGTCTGCTTCATGTCTTGGTAACTTGTTTCTTTTTTACACTGAACAATGTTCCATTGTGTGGATATATCACAGTGGTGAACATTTTTTAAAGAGAAAAGCCCAACCCAGATTTACTGCATCAGACATTTTATGTGTGTTTTAACCAGATCCTCAAGATGGCTCTGATATATATCTGGGTAGATGATTATAAAGATTCCTCCTAGATTTAAAAAATAAGTGCATTAATGCTCCCTAGATTTAAGATGCTTCTTTTCCTTTGAGGAAAAATATATATTTCCTCTAAGGTGGGCATGTCTGTGCTCCATCGCCGCATCTTTCACTCAGTCAGTAAGTCCTGGTATAGGGAGATTGTAGAAGAATCTGAGCAGAGTGACTGCTCCCAACTGAGAGAGCAAGTTTTGCTTTCAGTTTCTGATCAATGGAAAGGGAGGAAAAAGAGAAAGATAAGTTGTAAAGACAGAATGGTAGAAAGTAGGAAGAGTGCTAAGAAATCTGATATCCTAATTTTTGCCACATAGCAGGCATTCTAAAGTAATTGTCTATTTAGTTTTATTTCCATAGGAAGTAATATTTACTTTAAGATAAGAAAACCAAGGCCAAAGACTTTACCATTTTCCAGTAAGAGACTCCAGATTCAGCCTGTATCCTTACATTATTCTTTTACCCATCCCAATCCAGATTATAAACTTTGTGAGAGCATAAGCCACATGTGTCTTATTTACCATTTTAACTTAAGTACTTGACAGACACAAAGTACACAACAAATATTTCTTGAAGTAAATTTAAGATTTAGATTTAAGAAGTAAATTTAAGATACACTTCAAGTGTATCTTAAATGAAGGACTGTTCACAAGAAGTATGCTGCCTTTTGATAGGTTAATTATAATAGAAAGTGAAGAAAAATTAGCTAATATTTGATATTTTATGTGATTCTACATTTTTTATAGCACAAACCTCAGAAAAAAAAAGACATCTCTTAAAGCTGTAGATGATTCAGTAAAAAGCCTGTTAAACCCCAGATTCGTAATCACACTAGGTAATGGTGGTTCATTTTCTAAGCTCACCATGACACACCTTTTGATCAAGGAGAGCTAGGCTAATGGTGCCTGTGATTTATCGCCCTTCCAGAAGAACCACAGATCCCATTCTGTTATGCCCGAAACACATCTATAGCTTCTCTGGACTAAGCATCAATTCCCTCAATGTGAAAAACAGTCAACAATGTATTAAAAAACAGGGTTCCCTTTTAACTACATAGTGTGTGTTTCTTTATAAATCCTCTCTAAGGGCTCCTAATGACATATAACTCATATTGTAGATACAGAATGAGGCACATTTGCCCCTGGGCCTTCTCAGTCTAGTAACACATTAGACATTTGGGATGCGCATTGATTCTCTAATACCATTCACTGCCTTATATTTCCAAAGAGCTAGTAGCTCAGTGATAATGAGGTCAAAGTCCCAGGTTTGATCTCTCATGGACAAAAATGATTATCCCTTTCTTGTTTAGACATATAAATGTCACAGAATGTTACCAGTTCTCACTATATTTCCTCCATGGACAAATTCTAGTAGGGAAAAAAAAGATCATTTTGTTGTATAGGTCTCAATGACCTACTGTATAAGATGAGAATAAAGATAATAAACATTTTTTTTGAGACAGTGTCTCACTCTGTCACCCAAGCTGGAGTGCAATGGTGTGATCTTGGCTCATTGCAACCTCCATCTCCTGAGTTCAAGTTATCCTCCCACCTCAGCCCCTCAAGTAGCTGGGACTATGCATGCACCACCACACCCGGCTAATTTCTGTATTTTTAGTAGAGACAGGGTTTTGCCATGTTTGCCAGGCTGGTCTCAAACTCCTGACCTCAAGTGATTCACCCACCTTGGCCTCCCAAAGTGCTGGGATTACAGGCATGAGAAACTATGTCTGGCCAATAAACACTTCTCATCTATTTTGTAATGTACAAAAAAGGATCCAAAAAATAATTTATGTGCACTTAGTGAGCATTATAGAAGGAAAGGAAGAAAAGAGTTCCATGATAAGGTGGAAATCATTTACATAGGGACTTACTCCCTGGAGAGTGCAAGGAGGAGATATTTACAAGTGGGGAGCATTTTTTCCCCTAGGACTGACTCTGGAACTGTGTAAGGAACTGCTGGTTTCTACAGTGCCTGATAAACAGCTCTCACCTGACAGAGCTGCTTGGCTTGTGGATGGCAATTCCAAGGTGAATGGACAACATCCTGTTCGGAAGGCTGCTTCTCTGATCGAAAAAGAGTCAAGAAAACCTTTTTCTTTTGAGATATTTATAGCTTAGAGAAGTTGGATAAAGTATACTTTTGTGAGCAAAATTTACTTTTCTCTGTAGCTGAGTTCTCCGAATTTTGGAAACTATTTGTGAATATTCTTATTTTATGGTAATGTAGTTATTCACATAAGTTCAGTAAGAATCTGCTTTCTTTTGTAATAGGACAAAATTGAAGACACTGGTTCTTTTACCAAGGCTTTGACTGGAATGACATACGTTCAGATATGACCAGACTGAGGAAGTGAGGTTGACTGTATAGAGCTAATAAAAGCCCCTTGGAAAGTCTGGCCTAGTACCTCATCTAAATTGTTCCCTTACAAGGCTTCTGACCTGTAGTAAATAAAGAATGTCACTTACTAACAGACCCAGGAACCTCAAGATATTTTAGGACCTCCTGAAGAAAGGAATTCATACAGGTATTATAAGAATAGGCTAATAGTGAATCCTTGGCTTAGCTTCTGGCCTTGAGGCTTTTAAAAAGTTGAATCCAAAATTTCTTTTATAAGTTCCAGCAAAGCTAACTTAAAAAGAGCCTATAGGGCTGATCACTATTCTTGCTACACTTGATGCAAATAATCAGGCCAAGCATAATGAAACCAAAATTTAGTTTGCAAATAAATTGTTCCTACTATTATTTATTCTTAGTAGAAATGGGGAAACTAGATAGAGAGAAAATTTAGATTCTAGCCCTGACCATGGTGTGAGTTTTTTATCATTTGCCTACAATTTGGGCTAACCCTGAATTATTTCCTGACTACAAGAAATCTCTAAATAGAACCAAGTTTTACTTTTCTTCATGACGCTTTTAGTTGGCTCCTTAATGAAAAGTGTTCCTTGTTGTTGTTGTTGTGCTTGCAACAAACTCTCTTTTGATTCTAGTCCTTGTGTGCATTATATTTCTACTAATCAAATTATTAACGTTATGTATCTCTCATTGTTTCAGTTCTTCTGAGAAAACTGAAGACAAGAAATGATTCAACAGCCTGTGAATCTACCCCATTTGGAATCCCACTAGGCCTGATCTGTTTTCCATTGCCAGTGCATTGCTGCTAAAGCTGTAACATATCAAGCACCCTCCCCAAAGTCTCAAAGACCACCGCAGAAGAGGAAGGTGCATGAGATTGTAAGAGCCAGATTAGGGGGAGGAATGTAGAGGCTGAAGCATCTCCATCTTGGACGCTAATCCACCATGTTTGCTTCTGACTAACCTCAGTTCCAGGAAGGCCTCTGAAATGTCCGGTTTATCTATTATTCCCTGTGTAAGGGCAGTTACTTACCTTGATAGAGTTTGGATATTTGTCCTGCCCAGATCTCATGTCAAATAGTAGTCCCCAAGGCTGGAAGTGGGGCCTGGTAGGAGATGTTTGGGGCATGGGAGCTGATCCCTTATGGCTTGGTACTGTCTTCGCAATAGTGAGTTCTTTCAAAATCTGTTCATTTAAATGTGTATTGCATCTCCCAGCCACCACCCCCATCAATTGCTCTTGCTTGTGCCATGTGATAGTCCTGCTCCCCCTTCACCTTCAACCATGATTGTACACTTCCTGAGGCCTCCCTAGAAGCCAAGCAGATGCCAGTACCATGCTTCCTATAAAGCCTGCAAAACCATGAGCCAATTAAACCTCTTTTCTTTATAAATCATCCAGTCTCCGGTATTCCTTTATAGCAATACAAGAATGGCCTAATACAAACCTTGAATACTGCTCTTAGGGCAAATTCCTATCTATCCCCTCCGAAGTATGTGTGCCTCTCCTTTACGGTATGTAATCCCTGGGTCTGGTAGGTAATGGTGCATAATCCACCACCTAGTCTCTAGCTGCCAGAGACACAGATAAGGCTTTTGTTCCTAAGTCCCTATTAAATGTTTCTTTATAAGAAAATAAAACAAAGGGGGAAATAAGAGGTGGGAGGGAAGGGGGAAAATTTTTGGTAAGATGGTATTAATAAGAGTATTATAGTGGCCTTTCATTGTTTCTACCTACTGAATGTTCATCTGCCATGTTTATGATTATCATACCTCAATATTTTTCTCAAGAAGCCACCTCTTTTCCTCTTTTGTGTTTATATGGTTTGATCCATTTCCTATATTCAGGGGAAATGGGTCCAGATCTTAGGTCTCGGCAATCATTTAGTTCCACTTTTTGGCCAAAGTGATTATTTCAGGATTGGTATAAGCCCACATCTAGTCAAAGTCAATCTCAGAACTTTTCTAAAGGAATTGGGCAAGAAGCCTTCTCCACACACTTGGAAAGTGAAAAAAATTAAAATGAGTCATCAGTGTTTTGGAACCATTTTGAGTTGAGAGCCTGCCTGAATATGAAAGCAAAATGAAATTTGCAGAATCTAGGAATGCAGAAAGCTAGCTTCTTATGACATTATCTGAGCATCTAGATCTAGCTACATCTGAAACTAATATTTTTTGTTGTCAGCCCATAAATTCCCTTTTAATTTGAAGCCAATTTAGAGTTGAGTTTCTATCACCAAGACTAAAGAGTCCTAATTAACATGATTACAGAAAGTAGGAAAGAGGCTCAGATACTTCAGACCTACCGTTGCACGTGATAAAAGAAAGAACAAATGTTGAACATAGACAGAACTCACTTAAATCTTGACTCTACAAATTACTAGTGTTGCAACTGTTACAGTAGAGAGTCAGGCAGACATGAGCAGGGCAGGAGAGTGCCCTCCTCTGCCAACCAGGACTCTCAGATGACCATCAGGTAATGCTCAAGCAGTTATTAAACTGTCTCTCTAAAATAATAATTGGTTGCAGCCAGTACCAGAGAAAGGCAGTCTCCCAATAGATAGAAAAACCTGAAACTGGTGATCAGCTTCCTGATAAGATCTCAGGAGTTGGGTAACTGGGTTCAAGCATGTGCACTAAGAGGCAAAATGGTAAAGTTTAACTGCTATATGACCTTACAGGAACACTCGACTGGTAAGGGAAGAACACAAGCATGCAAACACCTCCAGTAAACACACCACACATGCAGCCCCTCCCAAGTGCTGCCAGGCCACTGTGCATGTGGAATGCCAATGTATAAGACCCCAAGTCAAAGGTCAAACCATGTACTTGATCTCTAAAGTTGCCCCCTTGGCCTTCTTCCAAGTGTACTTTACTTCCTTTTGATAGAGGCAGACAATGCCTAGACAGATAGGGGTGGGTCCCCCACTAAACCCCACTTCCAAGCTGAAGAGAGTTGAAAGCCTGAAAGCCAAGCTGCAAGTTAAATCCTCAGACCAGATTGAGAACTTGTCTTCCCATTTGGTGCACTTTCCTCTAATTGGTCCCCACCCTTCACTTATTTTACATATACCGACCCTTTCCTAATTGGTTTTTCTACACTGTCATGCCCACCTTTGAGTGGTGTCTTCACTTTAACCTTTTTTGCATAATTACAAACCAATCAGCATGCACTCCCCATCCTGAGTCCATAAAGAGTCTCAGACCCAGAAACACCGGGGAACCATCCTTCCCCCTACCCTACCCTCCCCTCTCCAATGAAAGCTGTTTTCATCACTCAATAAAATTCTTCTCTGCCCTCCTCACCCTCCAATGTCCTGCATATCCTCATTCTTCTTGGGCACAGTACAAGAGCTTGGGAATCACCAAACGCAGGTACAAGCTGTAACACAGGCAAGCTGAGGCACACAGCATGGCCGAGCAAGGCCCAGGTGGGGCATTGCTGGCCAGGAGTCCCCAGCTTGCAAAGTGACCAAGAAGAAAAATCCTGCATCACTTTCGTTCCTACTCTAAAGCTTTTTAATTAACTTTCACTCCTGCTCTAAAACTTGCCTCAGTCTCTCACTCTGCCTTATTATACCTTCAGTGGAATTCTTTCTTCTGAGGAGGCAAGAATGGCAGTTGCTGTAGACCTGTACAGATTTACTGCCACTAACACAACTAGTGTTAAGCAAATTATTTCATTTCTCTCAGCCTTAAATTTGTACATGTAAAATGGGGAGACATATAACTACCAGGTAGAATTAGATGGAGAATTAAATAAAATGAAGTATGTGAGAAGTGCTGTACATTGTAGATGCTCCATACACTACTTCCTACATTGCCAATTTCCTCTCAGAAATCCAGCAATCAGAGGGAATCAGACAAGGTCTTCATAATTGTGCCCTTGAGGTTGTCAGCTCACACACTGAGTTCCATGTTCAGTTTTCCAATCACTTGAATTCCAATCTTGGTGTGACTAACTAGATTACTGTCTCCCACCAGCTGTAGTTACTGTTTTATTCTCCATAAAACCTGGAATCCTTTTATCAGCATAAGTGTAAAAAAATATTGTGAGTGTGGGGTTCTGCAGCAGAGAGAATGTTGCAAGCAGTTGGAAGCACAGCAAGATGAAAACAAAAAAAAAAAAAAGGAATTCTGTCTCAAATCTCATTCTCCAGAGAGCTTTGTAAAGGTGAAGCATCTATTATTAAAGGCACAGATTTGGCCTCTTTTTTATAAGTTAGCAGAAAACAAACAAACAAGAAATCCCTAAGCAATTCAGGCATAAGGTATTTAAAAAAAAAAAAAAAGGCAGTAGGGAACCTGCACATATTAAAATAGAAACTAAACTCAGAGATGATAGCTCCTAATTTCTGGGCTCCTAATATGTGTCAAGCCCTCTGTGTGTTTGATTTTCAGGCCTCTACATCCTATGAGGTGGATGTTCTGTTATCCTTTCACAGATGTGGATGTTAAGAGTCAGCGAAGGCTCTGGGAAGGTAAACTGCTTGCCTGAAGTCAAGTCTACTGCTCTTCATCTCCATTAATGCCTCTCTAGCCCAAGCCATCATCTTTGTCCTCCTGGTCTCAGAGCTGGTATCTCTGCTTCTATTTGACAACCTTACACTCTATATCCCAAAGAGCATCTAGAATGGTCTTAACAAAAACTAACAATAATACATCAAATCATCCCCTACTTAAAATCTCCCAATGACTCTGGAAACTAAGCTGTCACTTTCTTAAAAAACTAAACATGCAACTACCATATAATCCAGCGACTGCACTCAGGCATTTATCCAAGAGAAATGAAAACATATCTTCACACGTAAACCTGCATACAAACATTCGAAGTAGCTTTATTCATAATAACCAAAAACTGAAAACAACTCAGTGGGTGAATGATTAAATAACCTGTGGTACATCCGTACCATGTAATATTACTCAGCAATGAAAAGAAACAAATTATTGATACACACAACAACTTGATGTTGAAAAAAGCCAATCCAAAAAGGTTACATGTTGTAAAATTTCATACATATAACATTTTTGAAATGACGAAATTATAGAAATGAAGAACAGGTTAGTGGTTGCCAGGGGTTGAGGATGGGGAAGAGGGTGGGAGGGACATAGGTCTGACTATAAAAAGGCAACATAGGAACTCCTTGGGGTGATAGAACTGTATCTTGACTGTGGTGGTGAATACATGACTCTCCACTTGTGATAAAATTGCATAGAATACACACAAACACACACACGCACACACACAAATGAATACAAGTAAAACAGGAAATCTAAATAAGATCGGTGGATTATATCAATGTCGATATGCATGTGGTAGTGATACTACATTGCAATATTGTAAAATGTTAACATTGCAGGAAATTGGGTGTGGGGTATGAAGAATCTTTTATTTCTTACAACCACGTGTGAATTTACAATTATCTCAAAATAACAAGTTTGATTTTTTTTTTTTTTTTTTTTTTGGAGACAGGGCTTGGCTCTGTCACCCAGGCTGGAGTACAGTGGCATAATCTCAGCTCACTGTAGCCTCAACTTCCCAGGCTCAAGCAATCCTCCCACCTCAGCCTCCCAAGTAGCCGGTACTACAAGTGTGCACCACTATGCCCAGCTAATTTAAAAAGAAAAAAAAAATTTGTAGAGACAGGGTCTCACTGTGTTGCCCAAGCTGGCCTCAAACTCCTGGCCTGAAGCAATCCTCCCACCTCAGCCTCCCAAAATGCTGGGATTATAGGTGTGAGCCACCATGCCCAGCCAAGTTTGATTTTTCAAAAATCACCCAAAGGCTTCTCATCACATTAAGAGTAACATTGCATTGCTTGCCCTGGCTCATAGAGCCTTACATGACAAGGGCCCTTGAGATTTCTCTGATCTCATCAATTACCACACTCCTACCCTCCTTAAGCATCAGTAGGCCCTTGCTTCCTCTTGTTGAAATGCCCTTCCTCTGATCTCTGCAGGACTTATTCCTTCTTATCACACAGTTTTTGGCCTTTTATCCTCTCAGAGAGGCTTTTCCTGTCCACACAATCTAAAGAGGCTCCCAGATGCCCTGTTACATCACCCCGTATTAATTAGCACTGTGGCATGCATTACTATTTGTTGTTTTTTGTTCATGTTTTAGTGTTGTTTGTATTTGTTTCCCTGAACTAGAAAGTAAGCTCTGAAGAGTAGGGATGTTTGTGTTATTTTCTGCTGTATTTCCATCAGCTATAATAGTGGGTGCCAGACACACAGTAGGTGCTCAATAAATGTTCATTGAGTGGACACAGACAAGCTTGAATGATAATCTGTGGAAAGAAGTCTTATTTAATACCTAGTCATGTTCTGCTTGGCATTCAGGACCTCCATCTATCCCCAGTGGTTTCAAACTCTCCACCCAGATATTATATCTTAGTGTTTTATTGCAAGTCTCAACATTAGCAGGACAATCTAGACCTAAAAGAGCCAAGAATTCAGGGAATAGACACATTCTAGGGATGAACAGAAGAATGGGAAACAACTCAGGTAATAAAATGGTAAACAGGATGAAAAAGCCAGATAAATTCAGTAAGTGCCCACCGACCTCCCTGTCTGCCAGGCAGTGTACTATGCACTGTGGAGATAAGAGATAAGGTCATCATAGTCTTGAGCCTCCAAGTCCCTCATGACTCAACCTGAGAGTTCCATCAGGAAAGGAAATCATTTCAATGAAGCGATAGGTGGGCTGGAAAACCTGAGCAGAGTGGACAAAGCTAATAGGATTCCATCTTAGAGATGATAATCATTGGGAAAATAATGTAGTCAGAGACCAAACCACTGGTCTCTATTCCTCTTCAATTGGAGCAGGGCCATTTTGACCTGCATCATTTACTGAGATTTTCTAATCAACACATGAACCTATTGTCAAAAAGTGTTTGAAACCACTCTGTGTATGGCAGACCCAGATCTTGGGCTAGCTTAACAGCAAAAGAAAGGATTTTGAAAATATTCTGTCATTTCAAGACAATATCTGCTCTAAACCTTTCCCACTTCTGTCTTTAAGAAATAGATAAACAGAAGCAATGTACTGACATTCTCATTTTCAAGTCCCCAGTGGGTTTCATTGTCACAGTCACCTGGGGTTATCAAGCTGCTTCCTTCACAATTGCTGGCCAGGCAAGGCCTGGCACAGACTATCAGAGCTTCACACATCCCACTCCAATCAGAACAGAGCTGTCTCACTCTTAGAACAAAACAAAGGCAGGGCATTGATTTCTGCATGAGCAACAGAGTTTAACTCTTGTGCTTTCAGCCTAAGAGCCCCAGAAGCCCCAGGAATTTTTCCAGAGTAAGGCATCTGTCCTTCTCTTGGATGGAGGATGTTGGTTCTCATGGCTTCTGCAGTGGAAAGCACCATTCATGAGCTGAAAGGCCATACTGCAAGAAAGTAGGATGTCATGTGTTTGCCAAATCCCATACCCTCACCTACCATCATGCTATAGACTATACCAGGATTAGCCATTCTGATTCACTAATCAACTAGATCGAATTTGGGGT
Organism: Homo sapiens; assembly: GCF_000001405.40. NCBI lineage: Eukaryota > Metazoa > Chordata > Mammalia > Primates > Hominidae > Homo > Homo sapiens. Next base: position 58,965,524 of record NC_000016.10, on the reverse strand, counting down.
TGGGAGAAAGATAACCTCTAAAATATGTATGTACAGGGTTCCAAAGGTTAATATACGGCATTCCAGTCCATTCTTTGATATTGTCCTCCCATCAGCCCTATATGGGGAAGAAGGCAGGAATTTTTTTTAACACTTTTTTTTTTATACTTTAAGTTCTAGGGTACATGTGCACAACATGCAGGTTTGTTACATATGTATACATGGGCCATGTTGGTGTGCTGCACCCGTTAACTCGTCATTTACTTTAGGTATATCTCCTAATGCTATCCCTCCCCCCTCCCCCAACCCCATGACAGGCCCCGGTGTGTGATGTTCCCCACCGTGTGTCCAAGTGTTCTCATTGTTCGATTCCCACCTATGAGTGAGAACATGCGGTGTTTGGTTTTCTGTCCTTGTGATAGTTTGCTCAGAATGACGGTTTCCAGCTTCATCCATGTCCCTACAAAGGACATGAACTCATCCTTTTTTATGGCTGCATAGTATTCCATGGTGTGCATGTACCACTTTTTCTTAATCCAGTCTATCATTGATGGACATTTGGGTTGGTTCCAAGTCTTTGCTATTGTGAATAGTGCTGCAATAAACATACGTGTGCATGTGCCTTTACAGCAGCATGATTTATAATCCTTTGGGTATATGCCCAGTAATGGGATGGCTGGGTCAAATGGTATTTCTAGTTCTAGATCCCTGAGGAATTGCCACACTGACTTCCACAATGGTTGAACTAGTTTACAGCCCCACCAACAGTCTAAAAGTGTTCCTATTTCTCCACATCCTCTCCAGCACCTGTTATTTCCTGACTTTTTAACAATCGCCATTCTAACTGGTGTGAGATGGTGTCTCATTGTGGTTTTGATTTGCATTTCTCTGATGGCCAGTGATGATGAGCATTTTTTCATGTGTCTGTTGACTGCATGAATGTCTTCTTTTGAGAGGTGTCTGTTCGTATCCTTTGAAGGCAGGAATTTTATATATATATAAATATATATATATATATACTTTAAGTTCTGAGATACATGTGCAGAATGTGCAGGTTTGTTACATAGGTATACATGTGCCATGGTGGTTTGCTGCACCCATCAACCTGTCATCTACATTAGGTATTTCTCCTAATGCTATCCTTACCCTTGCTCCCCACCCCGCTACAGGCCCCAGTGTGTGATGTTCCCCTCCCTGTGCCCATATGTTCTCATTGTTCAACTCCCACTTATGAGTGAGAACATGCAGTGTTTGGTTTTCTGTTCCTGTATTAGTTGGCTGAGACTGATAGTTTCCAGCTTCATCCATGTCCTTGTTCACAATAGCAAAGACTTGGAACCAACCCAAATGCCCATCAATGATAGACTGGATAAAGAAAATGTGGCACATATACACCATGGAATACTACGCAGCCATAAAAAAGAATGAGTTCATGTCCTTTGCAGGCAGGAATTTTTATACCCATTTTACAGATGAAAAACTTGATTCAGCAAAGCACTTAAGAAGTTGAGACTTAGAGTTCCTAGTTCTTAGGGCTCTCCCCAGTCTCTTATGCGTCTTCTCATGAAAATAATTTGAGTTTTTTCCCTGAAATGAAGAATTACTTGAACCAAACTAATAAAACATATTATTTCCTTTAATCAGAACCAACTTTAACCCATATTTAGTAAAATACAGGAGGAAAAAAAAGGCCCTGGTCTTGGTATAAATCTCTGTTTCTCAGATCGTCACTTTCCCACAAGACTGGCCTGAACAGTTAGTTCTTCCATCCCAATGACCCTATCAGTATTGGGAAACATCTGTCAGTTTCTCCTGCTACAGAGGTTACAAATACACAGTTTGCTCATAAACTCATATGGTGACATAAATAATAATGATGTCATCTACCTAATGCTTCTTACTTGTATTTCCACATACCTCATGTTATTTGACTCATAACATGGTGAAGTAAATATTGGTAGCTTATTTCACAGAAGAATCGATGAAAAAATTGAGGATCTCAAAATTAGTTAAATCACATGAGATGGCACATCGAATGAGGGGCAGATTTGGATACCAGCAGCTTTCTTGGCCTCTAAAATCTATTCTCTTATGCCCATATCTTACAGCTTAGGCAGAGAGGTTGAGGAGGAAGAGATTATGTGCGTCCTGCAAAAGGAGACTGTCCAAGTCTCCCTTCTTTCCACAAATACTTAGTGTGTTTGTGATATATGCCAGGTATTAGCCTACTCAGTGGGGTCACAGCAGTGAAGAAAACAAACTAGGTCCCCACACTCCTGAAGCTTCTAAATGCAAACATTAATGGTTTATGGATGATTTTTATTCTTTACCATCTACTCTGCCCCACAAAAATACAATAAGACCTCTTTGCATACTTTTCACAAAATGAGAAACTATGCCTGTAGTTATAGTTAAATATGTAGGCAGTAGTTCTTGGTCTTTTTATTCCAAAGTGCTAAATACCTGACTCACCACTCCGATTCACTGCTGTGACATAGACAAAGCAGACTGGGGTTCTGTACAATTCCCTGCACATTAGCTGTATCTTAATTGCTTTTTCTCTGCCTCAAGAGAGCATTGCAGAATTCAAGAAAGGTTCTATTATTACAGCATAACCATGAATCCATAGGTAATTATTTGCAAGCTTCAATAGTTTAACTAGAAATGGTAACAAATTTTTTGTGACTTACCTTACAAGTGAGGTACATTTGAGATACCATATCCTGAACCTAGTTATTAGCACCAAGAATCTTGTAAGATTCCTCCCCTGAAAAAAGGAATCACTTACTAATTCATCATAAACCACATATATTCTATTATGGAGCTGTATATCATATGTGTTGGCTGCCAGTCTGGAAATGTCTGTCACTTTCAGCATCAATTTTTTAATTTCCTTAGCTTAGCACACAATAGCAATGTAACAGGTCAGGAATGGCCTTCCAGATAGGAAGAGAGAAGAGGGAATCAGGAGGCATGGAAGCTCTTCCTCCAACCTTGCAGTTTGCCTTTAGCCAGCCTTATATACGAGTCATACCAGAAAGAAGAATAAGAGCAATTATGAGGCTGTCTAAGCTTCCATCTCTTTATAGGCTACAACAGGAGGGAGTCAAAAATCTTGAATGAATTAAGAAAAGTGGTACTTTTATTGAATTTAAGAGATATACCCTCAGGTGTAAAGCCTTAAAACCCATCTGAATGAATTGGGATCTACATATAAAACAGATTACATATTATTCAAATGAAGTTATTTTGATTTAGGGACTGCTTACAGGAGTATAGGCATAGTTTAGGGAACAGACTAAAGATGGTGGGGCAATGAGGAACTACAATAATATGAAGATGTTAATATCCCTAAAGCCAAAGCTAGTATGTTCCAGGAGCCCAATGAGAGCTGAAGCCATGAAGGAGAGGTCTCCAGAGGGAACTGGTAGGATGCAGTTCTTGCCTGAAAACAGGGACCAAGTGGATTGAATAAAGAAAATGTGGCACATATATACCATGGAATACCACACAGCCATAAGAAAGCATGAAATCATGTCCTTTGCAGTAACATGGATGCAGCTAGAGGCCATTATCCTAAGCAAATTATTGCAGGAACAGAAAACCAAGTATCACATGTTCTCACTTATAAGTGGGAGCTAAACAATGGGTACTTATGGCCATAAAGATGGCAACAATACACGTTGTGGACTACTAGAGGTAGAAAAGCGGGGAAGGACAAGGGTTGAAAAACTATTGGGTACGATGCTCAGTACCTGGGTGACAGGATCAATCATACCCCAAACCTCAGCATCACACAATATTCCCAGGTAACAAACTTACCCTATACCCCCTGAATCTAAAACAGAAATTATTTTTTAAATTTTTAATTAAAATAAAAATTTTAAAAGGTCACCAAGGCAAGGAGGGAGTCAGAAGAGACACACTTCAACCCAACTTTCCCTCCAAACTTCAGTGTATTGCCATTGCATCTTCTCAGCCAAATCCAACAATCCACCAGCCAGCAAAGGAGTCTGGGCGTTGCAGTCTGCAAGGGTCAAGTTTGCAGAGACCACAGCAGGGCAGAAAGGGATGAATACAACTTGGGGTACAAATGAACAAAGAGAAGTGAAGTTTGCCCATTCTTCTAGCTTCATCTCAAGCCAACCTCCTCCTCTCTCTCTGTCCCTCCTTTGACCTATTTGAATACAGCATAAATAGAATTTTTAAAATACATAAATAACATCATAATAATAGATAAATAAATAAGTAGAATAAAAAGGAATAAAGCAGCTGCCCTTTCCTACCTCAGGGCCTTCGCGCATGCTAGTCCACCTTCCTTGAATTCTTTCTTTCTCTCGGTCCCTCTTCATGTGCACAGCTTCTTCTTCCCCTTTAAGGCCTCACTAAACACCATTTCCCAGGGAGAATTCTAGAGACCTTAACATTTCAGAATCCTAATCTATAAAGCGTAATGAAACATCACTCAAAACGGAATGAGATGAAGACAGTTTGGATTTACCAAGTTCTTGTGCATATGTCATATTGAAACAGCTCTGTTGTCTGGGATATACCCTGATTCTTTGCCACAGTTGAAAAAGAATTTAGGACACAGACACACACGAGGAATGGGTTTAGGAGCAGAAAGTTTAATAGAAAAAGAACAGAGAGAGAAAAGACTTCCTCATGCTGAGAAGGCGGACTGCCCAAGAGGGTTTCCAGTTTGTGGCCAAACACAATCGTTTTTATACAGAGACTTGAGAGGGTGGTGATTTATTTACATAGGGCTCAGGGGATTGGTTTGACCAGGTGTTTCATTTACATACCCGGGGAAAAGACTGGCCCTCCCACCCTAGTCTTTTATTACCCAAATGTGGCCTCCACCTGGTGGGGGGCCATGATACCTGTACACGTGGTTTTACCTGGAGGCTGCCATGATGCCAGCACACTTGGTGACAAGGAAAAGAGGGCAGGGGAGGCTGTATTGAATGTACCTGGCTTCCAGGTACAGCTGTCCACATTTACATATAAAAGCTCCTGGTTTGCATATCTATGCCTGACTTTTCAGGCTGCTTTTTGTTAGAGAAGAAATGATTTGGGGCTGCTTTTTATTAAAGGAAAATTCCATCGAGATCTTTTACCCTTTCTAGCTGCCTAAAAATAATTTCTTAATAACTCCTGTACTAATAGGGTACTGGTGGTATATGTGAAATTCAACATTAGGGATCATCTAAAACCAGGCGGTAGCTAACCTGCCTTTTAAGAAGGTGGGTTTGGTTAACTGTAGGATTTCCATTATACTGAATGGGACATGCAAGTTAGGGCCAGTGCTGAATTCCTCAGGACAGGAAAGGGAGGCTCAGGACTGCCTTCACTGCCCCTCCACTCAGCCTCTCCTGCAGGTACCTGTTGAACAAATGGTCTCACAGTTATCCACCTGAGGCTTCCTCATCAATAGGTTGTTTACACACCTAACCCCAGCTGGGGATTAGTTATACCTATTACATGCTGCTTTTAATGTCCTTCACTTCTCCACGGTTAAAATGCATCACATGTGTAATGATGTCCTCCCTACTCAGTACTACAAGATTCAGCCTTGTTCATGCTTGTTCAGTACCATCTAGTGCTTAGCTCACTGCCAGAAACCTCCTAGGTCTTCAAAAATTATACTGAATAAATAAAAGAACCCAGCATACACACACATTTGTATGCACACACACACACACACACACACACACCCCTACACGGGATCAAATAAGACAGAAAGATTGCATTTTATCCTGTGTGATGAAACACAATTTGCAATTTTTGTTCAATTCTAGGTATCTTCATTTTAAGTGGTACCTTGACTAATCATAGCTCTCCTAAGAAGGGTATAAGGACTTTAAAAGTTCTGGAAGTCATCTGATAACTATTGCAGTAGACTTCTAGTTCACTCTGAATCTTCTTAAATGCTGCTTCTTCTCTAAATACTATCAAATGCATTTGTACAGCGGGGGAGATTTTCTCTAACTGTGATTGGTAGCTTATTCATTTGCACGTGTACACAGTGCTTACCACTTGTTATCCCAATTATGAGATTCTGAGATTATGAATGTTTGCATAAACTGGCAGAAGAAAATAAAAGAAGGAAATTTACAGTTTAAAACCAAAATGCTCACATTTTTACAAGCCTATTTAAAGAGGTTCTATAACCAAAGTAATACATTTGCTCATCATAAAGGCACAGCTATAAACCAATGTACTTTATTAAACCCTTACCTTAAATAAATTTTTTAAAAAATAAATAAAGCAAAAATAAGAAAACAGGAAAGAAAGAGCCACTGTGTAAAATGGCTTTATATGGCAGAGTATGTTACCTAGAATTTCATCTTTTTCCAAAGAGAAGGCCATTTCCCAAACTAAACTCTAAGAATTCTAAGAAAGAAAAATACATTTAATTTCAAAAGCATTTCCTCTGTTATGCTGGCAGTACACACTCCTATAGCAAGTCTGCCACTAAAAAATGAGTCTATGTTGATGCATTTTAAGAGCATGCAGTGATAGCTCTGATTAGATCACTAGCTGCAAATGAGAATGCAGATACAAATCCTGTTTTATGCATTGTAAACATGCTGCACTCTGAGGCTTAAAGGTCCTGGAGATGTCACACTAGGGAGTATCCATGCATGCCTTTTCTTCTTCCATTTTGGCCTGTAGTTAGAGTCTATGCTAATATCATTTCCCATTTCCTAAGAAAGAAATTAAAAGTCAGAAACAATTTAAATTACTTGAATTCTCTCCCATGAGAGGAATTTGTATACCTCAGAAATGAATGTGACTCTTTGATGGGGAATGCTTATTTGCTGTTGACAGCTTTTTAGTGAAAAAGATAGAAATCAGATTGAATTTCGACAGCGAGAAATTGAGAGCTTGTTCTGCCAGCAGGAGGCTGAAGCCTCTAATTTTACCTCTGCGAAACAAAGATGAACCAAGAAAATAATCTACCTGCTTTTCCAAAACAAAACATAAAAATTCTTCATGTAGCTGGCTTCAGAGTAAGAAAAACTGCACATAGGGCCAGCTCTGTCCTATCTGTCTTGGTATTAATATAATAGCTGGGCCATATTCAAAAGCAGATAGAATAGATTCCAAATTCCATTATACTCTCTATTCTGAACTTTTCATTTGAACAATGGAGTCCACGGTAACCCCATCAAACTTCCTTAAACCAAAGGTCTGACGATCCCTGAATACCAAAATATATCTAACACACAAAATTAATTCTATTCTACACACGAAATATTGATCGTCAAAGATACGTTTTTGCAACAGTGGCGATGTACAGACAGCCTTCATTAGACTCCACTAAGCCCCTAATTACATATAATAAATCCAAACAGACAAGACTTGTTTTATAATAGAAATAAAATTTGGTTTTGGCCAGTCTGTCAGATTCTTCAAAGACATGTATTTTTCTAACATGCAGACCTGAGACAGCAGCAATGTTTATAAATTTCACATGCCAAATGAAGCCTGAGGGGGAGAAACAGCATAACAATCTTCCAAGTTAGTATATTATGGTTGCAGAAGGGATTTTTGCTAATAGAGATTTTTGACATCATTTCTGACACCATGACCCTGTGTGTAGTATCTCAGGAAGTAACAGGGTAGATGCTATTATAGACTCAAAACACGGTTTTGTCAGGTAACATTTCCTGGGCTCTCCTTTTTCCCCTCTAATGGAACGAAGAAAGAAAGAAAATAACAACAATTGCTACTATTACAAATCTGCCAGACAAGAAAGTAGGTGATGTTTCAGGGGACAAAATTAATAAAATACAAAAGCAAACAGAAATGAAGCAGCACAGTGTATTAAGCGAAAATTCAAAGCAGTTATAAGGATATTAGGAGAAAAGAACTTTACAACTATAAAAAAAATAAATGTTATATTTGATTAAGAAATGAAGTGTTTTAGATTTTAGTATATTCTGTTTTGGCAAGCCTTACTTAACCATGTGTTTCCAACAATTTTTAAATAAATTAATTTCCTGCATACTTAAGCAACACTACATGCTACAAAAAATAAGTGAAGTCTTATTGAGCTTGTTAGCTCAAAACAATTAATTTTACTAACTTACTGAATTTTCATTGAAAGTAATAGCAGGATTTAAAAAAAATCTAGGCACTTGTCCAGTTTAAGGTAGGAATTCTGCAGCAGAAAAAGTAAGTCCAATGAAAAGGAAGAAGTAATTTCTATTTCTGGAAATATGATGGATTATCCTGTAAAAATTCCTTAAAAAACTAGAAACACTAAATAAAATATAATAAGCATCCTTCTAAAGGGTAATGGTCAGCCATAAAGAAAATTATCCCACATGGAAACATGGGAATTCAAGTTGGAAGAACCAAAACAGTGGTTTAAAAAAGTAGAGGAATCTAAATAAATATTGAGTCCAAAACAATAATAGTAATACATTGTGGTGTTTAATATATATAGAAAAATGTAAGTTAACAATAATACAGGCAAGAAGAAGATAAATAGGACTAAAGTGTGATAAAATCCTAGATTTTTTCAGAAGTGGTAAAAGTACTAAATTATATCACACTGGAAGAAGTTAAGGATGTGTGTTTTGATTTTTAGAGGAACCACAAAAAAACAGTAAAGTTGACAACTTAATAAGTGATGACAATGAAAGGATAATTTATAAAGTGATTAATCAATAAAAGGCAAGAAAGCTGAGGTAAGATAAATAGAAAACAAATAGTAATTCAGTTAATATTATGGTAAATGTAAATGAACTAGATATTACATACACACACCTACACACACACACACACACACACACAGAGCACCACACCCGTAAACATTTGGATGCAGCTTAAATATGTGTATTAAAAAAGAGGAATAGCTAAGTATACATCTCAAAAAATGTTTTAAATAAAGAATAGAAAACCAAACCCTAGGAAAATCAGGAGTTGGGGAGGAAGCAAGCAAAAATAAAAGCAGAAATTAATATAGAAGACAAACATACCAAAGAAAAAGGCAACAAATATAAAAATTGTTTCTTTGAAAAGATAATAAAATTGATAGCCTCCTAACAAAAGTTATTAGTGGAGAGAGAAAGAACGCACAGATTTGCACAGACCATCAAGTTTAGTAATGAACAAGAGAATACCACTACAGTTCCTAAACATATTAACAAGATAATAAGATGATAGTATCAAAAAATTTAAAAAACAAGCACAAGGAAAGTTTGGGAGGTGCTGGATATGTCTATTACCTCGATTGTGGGGATGGTATTCTTGGTATTTGCATTATGTCCAAACTCATCAAATTGTACATATTAAATACGTCCACTTCTTTGTATATCAATTATACTTTAATAAAGCTGTTTTTAAAAGATATTATCAACATCTTTATGCTAATAAATTTGAAAATGTAGATGAAATAAAAATTTTTAGATAAATACAACTTAAATAAAAGAAATACAGGAAGAAGTAGGGAATCTGAACAGCTATATATCTATTTTTAAAATTAAATCTATTAAGCTGGGTGCAGTGGCTCACACCTGTAATCCCAGCATTTTGGGAGGCTGAAGCCAGAGAATCGCTTGAGCCCAGGAGTTTGAGACCAGCCTAGGCAATACAGTGAGACACCATCTCTATTAAAACATTTTTAACTTGAATCCATTATTAAATTATCCCCACAAATACAATTTCAACACAGATGATTTGCCTGGTGAATTCTTCTAAATTTTAAAGGAAGAAAGAACCCCAACATTCTATAACTTCTTTCATAGAATGGAAGAAAAAAATGAGGAAAATCTCCAATTCATATTACAATATCAGCATTAGCTTAACATCAAAACCTGGAGAAGAAAGAGAGATCTTTTTTTACTAATATAGACACAAAATTCTGGACAGAATAAATATAGGAAAATATATTACAACCAAATTGTGTTTCTTCTAAACAAACAAGATTCATTTAGCACTGAAAATTCAGGTACTCTCAGCAAGGCTTCCTAGGACCAAAAAAAAAAAAAGGAAAGAAAATTCAATGTAATTCACCAAATTAAGAGAATAAAATGAGGGGGAAATCCTATGATCATTTTTGTAGATGCCAAAAATGCATTTAATAAACTTTAAAAACTTTTCATGATTGCAAAACTAAACAGCAAATTAGAAATGGAATTAACTTTCTTAATCTATCGTACCTAAAAACTGTACCTCATGTTTCATACATTTTCATATAAAAAAAATTAATACTTCACAATAAAATATTGAAATATTTCCCCAATAAGAGTGCTATGGACTGAATGTTTGTGTCCACCCAAAATTCATATGTTGAAACCTAATCCCCAAAGTGATAGTGTTAAGAGGTGGGATTTTTAGGAGGTGATCAGGTCCTGAGAGCAGAGTCCTCATGAATAAAATATATGCCCTTATAAAAGAGACCAGACAGAACCTGTTGTCCTTTCCACAAACTGAGGACACAGACAGAAGGTGCAATCTATAAGGAAGGGGCTCTCACCAGACACCAAATCTGCCGGGTACCTTGATCTTGGACTTCTCAGTCCCCAGAATCATGAGAAATAAGTGTTTGTTCTTTATAAATTATCCAGCTTGTGGCATTTCTGTTATAGCAGCCCAAATGGAATAAGACAATCAAAAATGATAAAAACAATGACAGTTCTTATCAATTCTATTCAACATTTAAGAATGGAAAAAGGCTTGGCCACAGCTTTAAGATTTTTTTAAAAAGAGTATAGAAAAGAACTTAAAATGTCATCATTTACAGATAATATAATTGTGTACACAGATATGTCAATACTCCATGTAAAATATATTAGACATAAGTGAATTTAACAAAAATTCCTGGAGGCTAGGTCAATACCAAAACCAACTGCATTACTAAGCACCAGAAACAAACAAAAGAAAATTATTTTCCAAAAAATGCAAATTAAAACATTATTTCCCCAAAAACAAATACGAATATAGCTAAGAACAGTATATAGGACCTTTATGCTGGAATTTAAAAACCATTATTGAGAAAGGAACTATGAAGAACTAAATGATGAAAAGAAATGTTCATAGACACAAGACTCAGTAATCTCAACTTCTCAGTCTTCTTTAAATTTATCTTTAGATCTGATGCAATTCCAATAAAAATTGTAAATGTATGTATGCTGGTTTCCATGTGTCTGTATAAATGGAAAAGTCAATTCTAAAATTTTACAGAGAAGCAAAGGATAGTCAAAACAATCTTGAAGAAGAAACATGCAGTTACACTATTAAACATCAAAACTTATAAAAATACGCAATTTAGACAGTTAGTTATTGGGGCAAGGAAAGACTGAAAGACCAATGAAAGATTGTGTTTTTAAAAAGTTCAGAAGTGAAATTGCAGCGCAATGAGAAAAAGATAGCCTTTGCAATAATTGGCTGGGTCAATTGGATATACTGACTTTAAAACTGACCCCCTACTTCCCACCAAATACAAAAGTTAATTTTATCTAAAGTGTAGATCTAAGAGTGAATGATAAAACATTAAGCTCATAAAAAATAAGAAAATATCTTTATGGTGTTGGGGTAGGCAAAAAATATTGTAAATGGGATGCAAAATTACTAGTCTTAAAAGTAATCTCTGCCTTATCTCTGCCTTATTGCTTTGGACTCAAACTGCCACACCAAAGGATATTGGATATGGCTTTTATACTGCCTGCCAACAGAGATAAATAAAGCAAGTTTGGAGGATTTAATTCCTGATAACACAAACTTTGCAGAATGGGAGAAAATATTTGCAAACTACCTCTCTGACAAGAGATTAATAACTAGAATGTACCAAAAGTGCAAACAACTCTATAGGAAAAAATCGAATAATCCAATCAAAAAATAGGCACAAGATCTGAAAAGATATTTCTCAAAAGAAGACATAGAAATGACAAACAGGCATGTGAGGCCGGGCATGGTGGCTCATGCCTGTAATCCCAGCACTTTGGGAGGCCAAGGCAGATGGATCACCTGAGGTCTGGAGTTCGAGACCAGCCTGGCCAACATGATGAAACCCCATCTCTACTAAAAATACAAAAAATTAGCCAGGCATGGTGGCAGGTGCCTGTAATCCCAGCTACTTGGGAGGCTGAGGCAGCAGAATCGCTTGAACCTGAGGGGCAGTGGTTGCAGTGAGCCAAAATCGCTCCATTGCACTCCAGCCTGGGCAACAAGAGCGAAACTCCATCTCAAAGAAAAAAACAAAAAGCAGGCATGTGACAAGGTGCTCAACATCACTGATCATCAGAGAAACGCAAATCAAAACTACAGTGAGATATAATCTCACCCCAGTTAAAATGGTTTACAACCAAGAGACAGGCAATAACAAATGCTGGCAAAGATTTAGAGAAAAGAGAACCCTAATACACTGTTGGTGGGAGTGTTAATTAGTACTCTATGGAGAACAGTTTGAATGTTCCTCAAAAAACTAAAAATAGAGCTACCATATGGCAGAGCAATACCACTGCTGGATATATACCCAAAGGAAGAGAAATCAGTATATTGAAGAGATATCTGCAGTCCGTTTGTCACAGCACTCTTCACTCAGCCAAGATTTGGAAGCAACCTGAATGCCCATCATCAGATGAGTGGACAAAGAAAATGTGGTACTTATACACAATGGAGTACTATTCAGCCATAAAAACAATGAGAGTCTGTCATTTGCAAGAACATGAATGGAACTGGACAGCATTACATTAAGTGAAATAAGCCAGTCACAGAAAGACAAACATCTCATTTTCTCACTTATTTGTAGGATCTAAAAATCAAAACAATTGAACTCGAGGACACAGAGAGTAGAAGGATGGTTACCAGAGGTTTGAAAGGGTAGTGGAGAGAGGAGGTGGGGGTGATTCATGGGTACAAAAAAAAAATAGAAAGAATGAATAAGACCTACTATTTGATAGCACAACAGGGTGACTACAGCCAATAACTTAATTGTACACATTAAAATAACTAAGAGTATACTTGGATTGTTTGTACCACAAAGGATAAATGCTTGAGGGGATGAATACCCCATTCTTCATGATGTGATTATTATACATTTTATGGCTGTACCAAAACATCTCATGTACTCTCTCTCTCTCTCTCTCTCTATATATATATATGCCTATTATGTACCTACAAAAATTAAAAATTTTTAAAAATGACCAATGAGAGACAGTACATGAGACCATGAATAAATTATCTTATCCTTTATTCCTCCAAAGTATTATTCTAAAGCACAGTTTCTCGCTCCAAAAGCATTCTGTGATCATGAGCAATTGAATCTGCCGAACAGTTGGCTGTATCACTTGTGGTTTATTGTCAATCAGTGGTCACTTTCCTTTGAATGCCCTCCATCGGCACCTCATTCACTTCCTTTTTCCCTATCCCTTTAACTACTAAATGAATGCATGCTGATTGCATCACCACTAATCACTACCTCAGGATCTGTTTTGGGCATTAACCTGTGATAAATTTATAGGTGCATGGATAAATGAACAAAAGAAACAAATATTTATCACTACAAGTGTGTCAATAATTATGGCAAACATTATTGCAAAAATTACATGCAGCCAACTAAGTCCAAGTCCAACAATCATAATTGTAAAATTTTTTGTAAATATATTTTTATTGGTCATCTTCCTCATTTATTATTTATAAAAGTTTTCAGTCAATTCTCTTATATTTTATTGATAAATTATGTCATCTGCAGATGCTAGTTTTTTCTTGCCTTTATGTGTTTATACAGCTCATTTACTTTTCTTGTCTTGTTCCTTAGTCTAGGGCTTTCAAAAGAATCGAATTGTCTTATGTTCTTTTTCTCTTTTTTTTTTTTTTTTTAAGAGACAGGGTCTCACTCTATTGCCCAGGCCGGAGTGCAGTGGCAAAATCATAGCTTACTGTAACCTTAAACTCCTGGGCTTAAGCTATCATCCTGTCTCAACCTCCCAAGTAGCTGGGTTATAGGCATGTGCCACCATATCGAACTAATTGTTTCATTTTTTGTAGAGGTGGGGTCTCACTATGTTGCCAGGGGTGGTCTCAGACTCCTGGCCTCAAGGAATTCTTCCATCTCAGCCTCCCAAAGCACTGGGATTACAGGCATGAGCCACCATGCCTGGCCAAATTGTCTTATATCCTTCATATAAGACAGACCATTCTTTGAATAATACAACATTTCAGGGGCTAATCTAATGCTAACTTCCTTAGCAGTTGCCCCCATAGCTCCTCAAATGACCACTATATAGAAATAGGAATGTCTTTAAAAGAGGCTGATTGTGAAAATTAGAGCTGTTGAGAGAACAGGGAGTTAGGCAGACTATGAAAAAACAACAACAACGTTGAAGGTAAATTAATTAGCAAATGCATCTGGGCCTTTCTGAGAAATACTCTCTATAGGAATGTAACTAAGTCCTACTGTACAGAGTGGTTGTCATCTGCAGAAAATCTGCATTTGTAGTACCAGAGAATTCATGAACATGCAGATTCCTAGGCCCCACCTAGAACTTCTAGATCTAAACCTCAGTGATTGAAGCTTGAGATTCTGAACATTTCAAATTATTTAAAGATGATTTTCATGTTACTAAAGTTGGAGAATCAGGAATTAGGGGCTTTAAGGTATTGAGGAGTGGATGAATACAGGGATATTTCTTAATACAAATAATAAATATCTTCACTTTAAATGTCCCTTCCAGGGTTTAGATCAGGCAATGGCTACTTAACAGTCTTGAAAATAGGATAAAAAGAATTTCATCTGCCTTCCTCTAAAATGCCTCTGACCAGCATCTAGGCAGGAAGTACCCATCAATTCGATTTAGGGAAAAGGCCCATAATCTCCCCCACTTCAAATAGAATAAAAGTTAAAGCCAGAAACAGCTTACATATTTATCTGAAATGCCTCAATAGCTCCTTTGTTCCAAATTTCACCTTAAAATGATTACCTACTAGGACTAAGACAGTAATAGTGCTGCTAAGTAAGAATAAACAAAGGACTCCCAAGCTTGTGGCATTTATCATTTAGTCTGAAAAAAGCAATGTTTTTTTTACTTTTAAAAATGTAAGCTAAAATAATTCTTAATGGGAATTTTCACATTTTTCAGCAGAGAAAATTGAGAGTCAGATGCAACTGGCTTGTCCAGCCACCTGTTAGGTTTGCAATCTGAATCCTGTGTTCTTTACCTGTTTTGTTCTTAAGAAATAAATGTGTTCTGGCCAGGCACGGTGGCTCACACCTGTAATCCCAGCACTTTGGGAGGCCGAGGCGGGTGGATCACTTGAGGTCAGTAGTTCAAGACCAGCCTGGCCAACATAGTGAAACCCCGTCTCTACTAAAAATACAAAAATTAGCCGGGTGCACACGCCTGTAGTCCCAGCTAGTTGGAAGGCTGAGGCAGGATAATCGCTCAAATCCAGGAGGTGGAGGTTGCAATGAACCAAGATCGTGCCACTGCACTCCGGCCTGAGCAACAGAGTGAGACTCCATCTCAAGAAAGAAAAAAAGAAAGAAATGTGTTCTAGAAGTCATCAGACACACAAACACCCATAAATAGCTTTAAAATGAATAAAGAATGTGATGTTGACAGGCAGGTATCAATCAAGAAACATTATGTTCTTACAGAAAAAAAAAAAGAAAAGAAAAAAGTAGTGAAAGGAAGAGAGAGTCTATAAGTCAAGGTCCAGCCAGAAAATAGAAACTACTCTAAGTATTTCAAACAGAGGGAATTCAATACAGGGAATTGTTTAGATAAGTAATGAAAGAGCTAAGAAGCCAAATAGAAGACTGTGAAGCAAGTCAGACATTAGAAACAACAGGAAGATACCAGGAGTTGGAGGGACAAAGAAATGTGACAATGTTATTGGAGTCCAACAGCTGAAGCCACCTGATGAAAATGGAAGCACAGAGGTCCAATCACCAGAAGCTTGAACCTTGAATCTGATGTACCTGGTACCAAAGACAACCCCTAAGACAGAGTGAGAAGAGTAATCTTTGGCTTCTCCCTCTTCTTGGCATCTGGCTCTGTGCTCATGCCTCCACTGACAAACCTGCCTAGAAACCAAGAGCAAAAGAATCATGAAAAATGAAGTGAAGCAGAATGCACAGCAGGGCAGAAATGGTCAGGAAATCAATCTATGACAAATAGACAAATGACTAGTATAGTATGTAACCCAGAAATAAGGTAGTGAGAACCCAAGACAAGTTTCTTCTATTCAGCCTTACTGCCGGTCAGTCCTTTTGATACATCCTCATCTCTTGCAATTCAGTTTTTTTCCTGTGAACAATTTTTTAGATGTGTGCTTACTGACTGAGATTTAGGGCTTTCTATTCCTGCAGAAAGATTAATTTTAAAGAGAACCCCCATGCCCATTTCAGTTCTATCTCTTACATCATTGAGCAATAGAGAAGTTCAACAAGAATTTTTTTTTTTTTTTTTTTTTTTTGAGACGGAGTCTCTGTCACCCAGGCTGGAGTGCAGTGGTGCTATCTCGGCTCACTGCAACCTCTGCTCCTGGGTTCAAGCGATTGTCCTGCCTCAGCCTCCTGAGTAGTTGGGACTACAGGTGCATGCCACCATGCCCGGCTAATTTTTTATATTTTTAGTAGAGACGGGGTTTCACCGTGTTAACCAGGATGGTCTCAATCTCCTGACTTCGTGATCTGCCCGCCTCAGCCTCCCAAAGTGCTGGGATTACAGGCGTGAGCCACTGCGTCCAGTCCAAATCATTTTATAAGCATTTAGAATAAAAAAAGTTCTGAAACAATTCATTCATAATCTCTATTTCTGTTATTTTTATCTAGTAAACTGACTTTCCCTACGGTGTGAAAGAAATAGCCTTCTTGTGTTGGTAGCAAGATCACCAAGTATCTTAACTGTACCGTGGACTGATGTCAAAAGAACAATTCGTATGCAAATAATAGAGTCCCCAAAATAGATGATGGTGAAATCTAGTAAAGTCTTTAATAATATCTGTATCCACAGAAAGAGGAAATTCTTAAAATAGCTTTTATTTCTTCCATCTCTTGCCTGATTATTTGCAGACTATTTATGGACTGACTCAACTTTGGGAAATAAACATTAGGCTAAAGAATCCTTTAATGACCCTGAATCACAAAAAGAAACACGTGACAAAAGTCAACCTAATATACTTCTAGGAGAAGGCACATGGCTTCTGTGTATGTCTCCTTCTATCCTTGGAAACACAGATCAGGAATAATGTCAGGAAGAAGATCACACTAGACAGAGATGTGTATAACTTGCAGAGAAGAGCTAAAAGTGAGTAAGGTTATGACAGTGAGGATAGAAATAAATTTCTTTTCTAGTTATCTTGCAGCTTCTATTTTTCTGCAGAATTGAACAGAGAAAACCACCTGATGGAGGAAATAAAATGTGTATTCCTATGAACAGTAATATAAAGAAGCATCCATTTAGGAAACAATTTGCGGAATGTGAATTTTAGAAGAATGAGAAAAATCACAAGAAGCAACTGGGTAGTTAGTAGAACTGTAAAACTTTTAGTTTATGGGATATGCCTTTGTTTTTAATTTAATCAACTGGATTCAGGCTTGGATTTCATATTTGATTTAAATTAGGTTCCTTACTGAAACTGCAATTCAAAAATTACACATGACATATTATATATAAATATAAATGTTTATATATATATATGTGTGTTAACATATATGATTGGACTATTTTTATTTGATTCAGGAATAAGAGGATTCAGTGCTTCTTTTCATTTCTTGAAGCAATAGAATTGAGAGAACAAAAGCATTTGAATTCTGTCTTTTCTTAAAAGATGAGAATAAGCAAAATCTTTTTTAAAAAACATGCTGTTTTGGGCTTTTTCTCATTTTTGACTCTCTACTTGCTTACCAGAAGGCTTAAAGCATTGTTTGGCAGAATAGGATTAAACAAAAAGCAAGAATGTGCCTCCACAGACTTCCTTATGTTCTCTCCCCTCAACTTTTAATTAAAACACTGTCAGTTGGGGATAAGGGGAGAAAAATACAAAGGCAATTATGTACAGAAAACAAAAAAGCATATTTCATGAAAGCATAAGCTATTAGCACTTTCTTAGCTATTTGATCATCTGAATTTAGAATCACATACTGAGCTCCTAAGAGACACCAACATCCAACTCTGCGGAGAGAGGGAGTCAATGCCAAAGTAGGAAAAAAGAACAGGGTGCGCTCGCAAATCAACAAAGACCAAACTCAAGGAGAAGATGTCATTCAGCCTACAGTAAATCCTCACCTGACTGAACCCCATCATGAGGGGTAACCAAAGACTATACCAATCATAGACCCTCTCAAGGTACACACGGTAGAGATGAGTACTCAGTGAAGCACAACACTTGGGTTTGCACAAATGAGAAGGAAGATAAATCAACTTTGGTCACTGAGTCCACTGTCATGAGCCACACTGTGTGGTTTGAATGACATGATTCAGGCATTAATTTAAAGAGAAGATGAAGAGCTCTGACAGAGCAAGAGTCAGGCTTGCTGGGGCCCTTCCATCACCTCCTCTCTTTGACAATCTCTGAGGCTTTCTAGAGAATGCTAGAGCTCTCCAGAGCATTTTGGAAATCACTCATCTGGAACATAAATGTTACCAGTACTTAACTCTTCAACATACCTGAAAAACTTAATTTTGTGTCAGTCCTAACCAGAATCTGCAATGGGTAACTTATTTCAATTGGCTGAAGAGATTTCCACCCACTTTAGAGCAACAAAAACTATGGGCATTGATTTCACCTGGCCTTAATTCCCTGGTTTGTTTGACTTTGTATTGTTACATCAGAGATTTTGTACATAGATTCACATAAGTGGATGCAATAAATGAACATCAGGCCAGGTGCAGTGGCTCACACCTGTAATCCCAGCACTTTGGGAGGCCAAGGCGGGCAGATCACCTGAGGTCAGGAGTTCGAGATCAGCCTAGCCAACATAGGGAAACCCCATCTCTATTAAAAACACAAAATTAGCTGGGTGTGGTAGCACACACGTGTAATCCCAGCAACTCGGGAGGCCGAGGCAGAAGAATTGCTTGAACCCAGGAGACGGAGGTTGCAGTGAGCCAAGATCGCGCCACTGCACTCCAGCCTGGGTGACAGAGTAAGATTCCACCTCAAAAAAAATTTAAAATAAAATAAAATAAATGAACACTAGTGAATATTTTTAAACATCTACTTATGAGAAGTATTTTAAATAAGTGGCTAATTTTATCATATACAAGTGACAAGTATCATGTCTATCATTTACATGAGAAAACTAACCTGGATATTGCTGATTGAATTTTCTGAGTCTCGGTTAAAAAAAAATGAAACTTATATTTTAAATCATACACACACCCATGCACACACACGCACACACACGACCTTATTTCTCCTACAAATGATGACCCACAAGGTTCCTAGGGGACCAGAGTATCTTTCATTAGATCTTTCTAAGTACACTAACTCATCAACTAATATTAATGTTTATTTCAAGTAGCAGAGATGAATTTGAGCTGACGATTAGGTCTAGGCTTTGGTTTAAAGAGGACTTGATTCCTATATCAAGGTTCTTGGTGGCAATCAAAATTGACTCATACAAGTTTAATCATAAAATTCATTTTATTATAAGATTATCAGTACTTGAGAAATAAGCTAGAAAATGCACACTACCAGATATTAAAACATGTGTTAGACTTACCAGTGAGGTATTAGTTTGAGAACAGACAAAAAAATGACTACAATAAAATAGAGAGATAAGAAACCAGTCCACACAAATATGGACAAAGATGACACTGAAGTTCTATAGGTAAAGAATGGCCTTTGAACATGTGGCTGAGTCAATTGGATATTCCTATGAAAATAAGAAAAACGGAACCTTGACTCCCTACCTCAAACAATAGACAATATTAATTCTAGGAGAGTCACAGACCTACACATGAAAGAGGAAACAATAAAGCATCTAAAGAGTGATGTTCCACCCTGGGCAACATGGTGAAACCTTGTCTCTACTAAAATACAAAAAATTAGCCAGGTGTGGTGGCACATGCCTGTAGTCCCAGCTACTCAAGAGGCTAAGGCATGAGAATGGGAGCCTGGGAGGCAGAGGTTGCAGTGAGCCAAGATCTTGCCATTGCACTCCAGCTTGGGCTGCAGAGTGAGACTCCGTCTCCAAAAAAAAAAGTGATGTCACCAAGATGGCAGAATAGAAGATAACCATTCATATACCCCCACAAAAAAAGCTGTTTGCAGATGTTACTTCTAGGCCAACATAAAGCGAGACTCATTTTCCACAGGGCAATTCTCTAATATGCTGGTTCCTCACCCCTGAAAATGTTCTAGTCTGTCAACATCCTACCTAAAGGACCCCAGAAATGCACACTGTAGGTAGACAAGAAGGGCTGATGGACAGTAGAACTTTCACCTCTCTTGCTTTTAATATTTTAGTTCTATTAACTCATTCTATGAAGTCATTAATTTTCTGATGAGACACATCAGATGGATGATAAATACATTCACCAACAAAGAGGACCAGAATTTACTAAGCTCTTGACTTGACAAGCCTCAAGTGCTTGACTTTATTAGTATTACTTTACTTAATCCTCTTTCCATCCTGGATTGCAAGAAAAATGTTGTACAAACCATGTTATGGGCAAGCAAATTAAAGCCAGTCTAAAGCCATATAGCTAGAAAATGTTAAAGCTTTCCAAGGTCAAGTCCAGTCTGTTGGCTTCAAAGTTCACACTCAAGCCTGTCAGTTTCTTATATTATCCTTGTTCAGATATAAACCCAAACATAGAAGGTTTCAACACAGGACTACACAAGCTTGATTTAATGTTTTGTTAATCAACAAAGCACTATGACATATATCAATTAAAAAAAAAAAACAAGTATTTTCTGACCTGACCTTTGCTGTGCTTAGTCTCATAAAAAGTTTCACCAGGGAGAGAGGAAAAGGAAAAAAATGGGAATTGGAAGGACAAAAAAAAGAACCTACCCTTGAGGAGCTTTTGATGGAATTTTGAATTTGAAATAAATTACTTTAATTCAGTTAGAAAAAATTACCAGTTATCACATGATAAAATGTTAAGTAGTATAAGGCCACACAGACTCAGAGAGCACAAAATCAATGTGGAAATGAATTAGTCTGGGAAGGTTCCATTCAAGAGCTGGAATGTAAATCAGTCCTTGTAGGGTAAGTCAAATAAAGATACGCAGATAGGAAAGTACAGAAATTGCTGTTAGTCACTCTACCTGTCAGTTTTCTTGATTACATGCAACAAGAATCAATTCTAACTTAAACACAGAAAAGAACTTATTGTAAGTATATACTATACTTCATAGAATCAACAGAAAGTTGAGAACAAAGCTAAGAAAATGGGCAGGAACCAAGGGAAGCCACATAGCTATAAAACACAGCCAACATCATTTGGTAGGATAGTCTGGGGACGTCTCCACCACTGACATGCAACGAAAACAGTCACCAGACAGCTGATGCCACTACAAGTGACTCTTGACACTGCTACTACAATAATGAATCTCTAAACTAGTGTTCACTATTTTGTTAACTCTCTCAGTATTAAAAACAAAAGACAAGGCTGGGTGCGGTGGCTCATGCCTGTAATCCCAGCACTTTGGAAGGCCGAAGCAGGTGGATTACCTGAGGTCAGAAGTTCAAGACCAGCCTGGTCAACATGGTGAAACCCCATCTCTACTAAATATACAAAAATTAGCTGGCCGTGGTGGCAGGCATCTGTAATCCCAGCTACTCGGGAGATTCTATTGAGGCAGTAGAATCCTTTGAACCCGGGAGGCGGAGGTTGCAGTGAGCCAAGATCGCTCCATTGCGCTCCAGCCTGGGCAACAAGAGCAAAATTTCCTATCAAAAAAAAAAAAAAAAAAAAGATGATACAACTGGATATCCACATGCAGAAAAATGTAATGAGACCAACCCTTATCTCACACCATATACAACAATTAACTCAAAATTGATTAGAGACTTAAATGTAAAACCTGGAACTGGCTGGACATGGTGGCTCATGCCTGTAATCCTAACACTTTGGGAAACCAAGGTAGGAAGATCACTTGAGCTCAGGAGATCAAGACAAGCATGGGCAACATAGGGAAACCCCGACTCCATAAAAAATACAAAAAATTAGCTAGGTGCAGGGGTGTGTACCTGCACTCCCAGCAACTTGGGAGGCTGAGGTGGGAGGATTGCCTTAGCCCAGGAGGTCAAGGTTGCAGTGAGCCATGATCGCAGCACTGCATTCCAGCCTGGGCAACAGACTGAGACCCTATCTCAAAAAAAATAAAAAACAAACAGACCTGGAACTATGAAACTACTAGAAGAAAACAGGTAAAAAGCTCCAAAGCAAATCTAGGATTGCGTCAAATTAAAAGCTTCTGCACAGCAAAGGAAACAATCAGATGAAGACACAATCTAAGAGATGAGAGAAAATATGAGCAAACCATACATCTGAAAAGAAGTTAATATCAAAAATATACAAAAAATTCAAACAATAGCAAGAAAACAACCCAATTATTTAAAAATGGACAGAGGATCTGAATAGACATTTCTTCAAAAGATGACATGCAAGTGGCCAATGGGTATATAAAAAATACCAGACATCACATCATCAGAGAAATGCACATTAAAACCACAATGAGATATCACCTCACACTTGTTAGAATGGCTATTATCAAAAAGACAAAAAAGAAGTGTTGACATGGATGTGGACAAAAGAGAAGACTTGCACACTGTTGGTGGGAATATAAATTAGCATAGGCACTATGAAAAATAACATGGAAGTTCCTCAGAAAACTAAAAACAGAACTACCCTATGATCCAACAATCCCACTATTGGGTATTTATCCAAAGAAATGAAATCAGTATGTCAAAGATATATCTGTACTCCCATGTTTATTGCAGCACTATTCACAATAGCCAAGATATGCAATCAACCTAAGTGTCCATCAGCAGATGCATGGATAAAGAAAATGTGGTATATATGAACAATGGAATAATATTCAGCCTTTTTAAAAAAAAAAAGAAAATCCTGTTATTTTCAACAGCATTTCCCAACCGTTTTGGTACCACGGACTGGTTTTGGTGGCGGCAGGGGGCGGGGGAGGCGGGGGAGGGGATGCTTTGGGGGATGATGCAAGTACATTTCATTTATTGTGCACTTTATTACTATTACATTGTATATATGATGAAATAATTATACAACTCACCATAATGTAGAATTAGTGGGAGCCCTGAGCTTGTTTTCCTGGAACTAGACGGCCCCATCTGGGGGTGATGGGCGACAGTGACAGATCATCAAGCATTAGATTCTCATAACGAGTGTGCTACCTAGATCCCTGGCATGCACATTTCACAATAGGGTTCACACTCCTGTAAGAATCTAATGCCATTGCTGATCTGACAGGAGGCAGGGCTCAGGCAGTAATGTGAGCAATGTGGAGTAGCTATAAATGCAGATGAAGCTTCACTCACTCACCCGCCGCTCACCCTCCTCCTGCTGTGCAGCCCAGTTCCTAACAGGCCACAGACCAGTACTGGTTGGTGGCCTAGGGGTTGGGGACCCCTGATTTGTAACATGGATAAACCTGGAGGACATTATTTTAAGTGAAATAAGCTAGGCACAGAAAGACAAATACCACATGATCTCACTAATATATGGAATATTAAAAAGTTGAACTCGTAGAAGTAGAGAGTGGAATGGTGGTTACCAGGGGCTGGGGAGGGTGAGTGGGTGTTGGAGAGATGTTAGTTAAAGAATACCAGAGTGAGAACCTGTCTCAAAACCAACAAGCAAACAAAAGAATATTAGATTTCAGTTAGATAAGAGAAGTAACTTCAAGAGATCTAATGTACAACAGGTAACTATAGTTAATAACAATGTATTGTAGTCCTGAAAATTGCTAAGAGTTTGTGGTGAGATTTTAAGTGTTCTCACACAACAAAATGATAAGTATATGAGGTAACATATGTGCTAATTAGCTCGATTTAGCCATTCTATAATGTATACATATTTCAAAACGACTTTTATACATGATACGTTTTATTTTTTAATTAAAAAATGTTATTTTTTATCAGTTAAAAATTAATATAAGCAACAAGAGAAATAGACGATTGGAGAGGAGGAAAGTGGGAGTAGGAAGAGTAGGAGGAGGGTTAGAAGGAGGAAGAGAAAGTGGAAAAGAAGCAGCAGCAGAAGATGACCATAGCAATGACATTCTTGTTAATAACAAATTCCATAAAATGGTGCCCTGGTTGCTCAGATGAGGAAAGAAATAGTCTCCCCCTACTCCTTTCTCAAACACCATTAGTTTCTAAAATGTGAGGTACTCCTACATTATAACAATAGAAAACTTGTTCCACATAGAAAGCTTGAATTCTAGGTGGCCTCAAACTTTTGAACTCCACCCCCACCATTAAAAAAAAATGCAGAGATTCTGTAAGGGTTTCTGGTATTTTTTAGCACTTGGAGAACCAGTATTGTGATTCTCAATGATCTGGATGTTGGAGAGGCACAGCAATGCCGGGAATCCTGTCTGAGTTCCTCCATGATGGCACCTTTATCTTTTTCAAAAGCTCCCTCATTTCAAAAACTGCCACATAAAATATATCCATGGGAAAGCTAGAAAACAACAAGGTCTTGGGAAAGCAGGCTCTATTGAAACATCCCTAACATAGTCAATTCTCTGTCAAGGGGCTGCTGAAACTATCACAGAGACTTAACACAGAAACGAAACAGAAAGTCACTAAATACTGGCTAGTGATAGCTCAACAATTCATATATATAAATATATATGGTGTGGCCAATATGGTAAGAAGATTAAAAAGTATTGAGAACCTACTATGTGCCTTTCAGTGTATTAAGAATTTTACATTTATAGTTTTAAGTCAGCAGACTCAAGTATCTGCCTTCATCTCCAGCAATTTGCTTCACTTCTTTAAGCCTCACTTTACTCACCAGTAAAATAAGACTGGAGCAAATATTCCTGCCCCAGTTATCACACTGGATTGTTATGGATGGAGATCAAATGAGTGAGTGATTATAAGAAATGTTTTGGGGCCGGGAGCGGTGGCTGACACCCGTAATCCCAACACTTTGGGAGGCTGTGGTGGGTGGATCACCTGAGGTCAGGAGTTCGAGATCAGCCTGGCCAACATGGTGAAACCCCATCTCTACTGAAAATACAAAAATTAACCGGGCATGGTGGCACATGCCTGTAGTCCCAAGCTACTCGAGAGGCTGAGGCAGGAGAATCACTTGAACCCGGGAGGTGGAGGTTGCAGTGAGCCGAGATCACGCCACTGCACTCCAGCCTGGGTGACAGAGTGAGACTCTGTCTCAAAAAAAAAAAAAAAAAAAAAAAAGAAAGAAATGTTTTGGAAACTGAAATGCAAGGGATCCTGATGGTAAGAGTTACATTTGATGGCTCAGCCCCCACATGAGCTCTCCAGACATTCAGGACAATGTTATGTTCTTTGCTTTGCTACCCCTCTGAGAATCTCAAGCTGGAAGCACACTTTTAAATGCAGCTTTGCTGGCTCCAAGACACAGACCCACACTGTAAAAGATAAATTGAAGTTTGTTCCTAAAAGTGTACTGGAAGCTGCCAAGGGAGGGGACTTATCAAAGAAAGGACATCAAGATGTCACTCATCCTTCACATCTGCACCTGTGATTGAGAAAAATGTTTTCTTTAATACAAGTCGATATTTGAAAAGAAAATGACAAAATGAGGTCCCTTCCCTTCATCATTTACATTATGCCGTAGGGGTACAAATTTGATCTAAGACATTTTGATTTATACCAATGGAGTGTGCCCGATGAAGAAAATTGTCACTTTTATTCCTAGGAAAGCCCAGTTATGCACATGCAATTCCTGTGTGGTACTGCCAGAACCGTTGGAATTGAGGGATATCAAACATAGGTATAACTTTATACGTTATGCTTTGAAACTAGTGTTTCTGAACTCTCCACCACCAATTCCTATTTTGGGGAATTTTGTGGCCACTCCATACCCTCTCATTGGACTTTCTCAAACTCCCCAGACCCTATTATTACCTCTTTCTTTCTCCTTCCCCTTTTCTTTCACCTCTTTATGATTCCACCTTTTCAAGGTCTTTTATTGTACTCTCTGTGTCTTCTTTCTTTGGGCTCTCTGCCTCTCCTTCTCTCAACCCCTTTTTCACATTTACTAAAGGAGATCCAACTACCAAAAACAAAAGAAGCAAAATAACTCACTTAGTTTGCAGGAATGGTGGGAAAGTAACACCAAAAATGTAATACATGTTATCCCTCAAACTAAGGACCAGGGAAGGGAGGACCTGCTTGGATAACTCAGCTAATAAACGTTGGAGCTAAGATTAAAACTCAGGTTTGATTCGGAGGGCATACTGAGCCTTCCTGGGAGACTCTGAAACCCTAAATCTGCCTAAAAGTCAGGGTAATTTGAGACCACATTCCAGTGAAGCAGGAAGGAGGAAGCTTAAGCTGTTTAGATCCTGTCTGCCCTTTTTGGAGGGATCTAAGTAAAGGAACATGAGATGCGTCCACATACGTATTTATATTTACTCCTCTCAACGGATGGCCTCCAGAAAGAGCTCAGAGGGAGGGTCTGATTTAGCTGCAATCAGCTTGTTGCCATGTTCGCTCTGTTTAAAAAGGGCAAGCTGTGTCTATCTGCTCCAGCCGTTGCCTGGTGTGCCAATTTGGTGAGGTTTATCATCTGTCTCTAATAGCAGTGGGCCCCAGAAATGGCACAGAGCAATTTTCTGCTTTCATTTCTGCAGCACTTGAGAAAAATCTGGGGGCAATTTTTTTAGTCTTAGGCAATATTTCTTAATGTGTTTATCTCTTGGAATTGCTGCTTAATTCTCTCCTTGACTCACTTTCAAAGCTCAAGGCAGAATCCACCGTTCTGTAGCTCAGTTCTGACCAAGAGAAATAAAAGAAGGTCAGGGGACTGAACAAGGAGCTCAGAGGAGGGGAACTGGGAAAGTGAGTCAGTTCAATCCCAGGGCGATATCTGGCTGAAGAATAGAGCTGCCTTCTATGTCCTTTTATCCAGTGCAGATTTGTCTGCAAAATTATTTCCTTGACGAGTGTGAGTTCAGCACCTCCGAGTCTGGCATTTGTTTTGTCTTTGTCATAAAGGCAAACATTTCCACCCCTCTTTTTAAAGTTAAAAGTTTGTATAGTGAAAGTGTAGCAATCAATTTGTTCAAGCTGTCAGCGTTTGGAGATAATTCCTACTAACTTTTCATCACCTACAGTCTCATATACAGACACATTTTCAGTTGACATGGAAGTGGCACATACCATTTAACTTCCTACCTAATCATCCTTCAAAGTCACTTAGTTTTCTTTCTACTGCATATGTTTTAATGGCTCCACAATTCTGGTATTTAGCCAATCATCTGTGGTTGTGCACATATTTTTTGTTTACAAATCACTCACACTGATATGGTTTGGCTCTGTGTCCCCACCCAAATTTCATCTTTCATTGTAATCCCCATACTCCCCATGTGTCGAGGGAGGGAACTGCTGGGAGGTGATTGGAACATGGGGGCAGTTCCCCCATGCTGTTCTCGTGACAGTGAGTGAGTCCTCATGAGATCTGGTGCTTTTAAAAGTGTTTGACAGTTCCTCCTTCACACGCTCTCACCTGCCACCATGTAAGACGTGCTACTTCCCCTTTGCCCTCCACCATGATTTTAAGTTCCCTGAGGCCTCCTAGCCATGCTTCCTGTTAAGCCTGCAGAACCGTGAGTCAATTAAACCACTTTCCTTTATAAATTACCCAGTCTCTGGCAGTATCTTATAGCAGTGTGAGAACAGACTAATGCACACACTTAAACATAATTATCTAAACAATACCCTTGTGGCTTAATACTAAGAATCCACCAAATAAGTGATAGGGTTTTTTTCCCTTTCTCTTAGGATGAGGGAGATCTAAGATTTATGTTTTCACAACCCGAATTGACCACAGCACTTTGAGCTCCACTTGAAGTTCCAAACTGAATCAACCTTATTCAGCCCTGATGCAAATCCAAAAGTCCCAACAAACCCTGATTTCATGGACTCAAGTAGTTGCTGTCATCTTAATGTCTGTCAATGGCATGGTTCCAGGCACAATGTGGAAATTTCTGGCTTGGTAACAAAGGGTTGCTGAACCAGTTCTTTTAGGAAGAAATTCAATTTTCTATATTGACGCTTCTCTCTGATGTCATAAATGTTGGGGTGACACATTAAGGAGAGAAGGAAAGACATGTACAGTTGTCCCTCGGTATCCATGCAAGGTTGGTTCAAGGACCTCCCAAGGATACCAAAATCTGCCAGATGCTCAAGTCCCTGATAGGAGACGGTCTCACACCCTATCGTATACTTTAAATTATTTCTAGATTACTTAGAATACCTAATACAATATAAATGCTATGTAAATGATTGTTAATACTGTATTTTCTATTGTTGTAGTTTTGATACTTTCCATCGGAGGCTGATTGAATCCTCAGATGCAGAATCTGTGGACACAAAGGGCCAATTGACATATGAAGGTAATGGGCAGCTGGGGGGAGAGAGTAAGAAAAATGAAAGTAAAAGAGAGAAGAAGGGAGGAGGAAGGAAACAGCTAGTTAAGTAGGTGTGCACTCGCTCTCTCTCTCTCTCTCTCTTGCTCTCTCTCTCTCTCTCTCCTCAAAGTAGGCCTAGGGTCCTTTTAATAGAATGGTGAGATTCAAGCATTGGAGCAGCTCCTAGAAACCACTGAATTCAAACCCTTCCCAGCACAAATAACAAAACTGTGGACTAGAGGGAAATTACAAAGATTTTACAGCCAGCTTTTCCAAATCCCCACCTCACACTCTTCCCACTCTACCTTGCTACCTTTTACCAAAGTTTTAAACTATCATTTACGAAAAGCTATTAACATTGAGCCAGAACACTTTGCATGTATTATTCTATTTAATACAACAACATTGGTTTTAAGTAGCCACTGGTGCCATCTGGGGAAGGCCAGGGACCCTCCCTAAGGTCTCCCAGGGCCTGTCTGTGGGGAAGCTGGATTTGAATCCAAGCACTCTGTCTCTCAAATACTTTCTCACATACTGTGATTTAAGCTCTACCTTTTCATTGATGATGCTAAGAGCAAAACCACAGAGGTTCCTACCCAACACAATAAATAAAGTTGGGCTTTTCTGGGAGATATATTTTTTAAGCAATTCCAAAAGAAATATTCAGAAAATGCAAACCTTTCTAAAATAAAAGACATTTTACACAAAATGGAAAATCTCCTGGGTATAAGTATTATAATTTGGTATATGAAGACAAGCTTTTGACAGGAACAGCAAGGCTCATTGTGTATTCATAATTCAAGAGTTGCACCCAAAGACACACAAGAGAGGGAAAGAGAGGACAAGTACTCACAGGAATTTATCAACAAAACTATAAATCGATTACATTTTGACGGGAAATCATCTATGTATAGCACACACATGTGTCTTCTCTTCTTGGCTATCTTACATTTCCATTTAGGTACTTAAGGGGGAAAAAAGAGCAGAAAATGGTGATTGCAAATAGTCTGATTATCCTGACAACTGTTGTACAGCCTCTTAGGCGTGACACTCCTGCAAGCCTCTTCGGCAGCCCCATGAAATTTGGAACATCGCTTCGTTCCACTACCTACAGGGAAATAAATTCTCGTCAGGAGTTACCTGCGGCTGATGCAGCTGACAAATGTTATCTAATCAAATCTATAAGCATCCCAGACAGGTGCGCCTCTCCGCCAGCCTAGGAAATCACCCTGAATAATTCATTATCTAATATGTTTCTCTAAGCCAATATACCTGAGGAAAAAAAAAGCACGTTGTGCCACTCTTTATGTAGGAAGAGATGAAGGGGAATTAGAATTCTCATAAGAAATGTCACAAAATTATTCTTCTTCTTCTGTTTAAGAAATTCTGTATTACAGATATACGGGCCGTGCCACTCCATAACCAACTTCCTAGCTGATTGCCACACCGTATTTTGGATCTCTTCTGCTTCTAAAATAATCCTGTTATTTAATTTCAAACCATCTCTAAATCAACATCCTCTTAACACACTCAGCCTAGCCACAGACATGAGCACACTTGCTAGGTAACTCCTGTAGATGGTGCCTCAAGTTCTTTCCCTGCCCACAGAGGAACAATGTCTAGATAGTTTCCACAGCTCTCCTTCCTGTTGAGTTTCTTTCTTTCTATACACGCCCTGACTTCCCACTGCCACAACTGCAATGCTGATTTGCTTTTGCTTTAACCCTCTGGATCTCAGAAAAGTGTGAGCACCGGATATGCTCCTATCTCCTTAGGACCCAATACAAAACTATCTTCTATTATCAGTGATTCTCAAATGTTTGTGTGCATCTGATGGGCTTGCTAAAATACAGATTGCTGGGCCCCACCCTGGAGTTTCTGATTCTGTGGTTCTGAAAGAGATCAGAAAATGTGTACATTTATAACAAGTTTCCAGGTGTTACTGCTCTGGGAATCATATTTTTAAGAACCCCTGAGTTTTACTAATGTTTTCTACACTGACCTGTTCCTAAGAATCACCTGCAAGTGCCTGGAAAAAAGAATACAAAGTTCTCAACTCCATTCCCTGTGGATTCCCATTCAGTAAATCTCTAGCGCTCCAGGTGTTGATTACAAACAGGTGTATTGGAGATTTTAAGATGTCAAGAGCCAAGATTAACTCTGAACCAGCGGCTTTAGTGTATTTACGATTTAGGGAGAGATGGTCAATCCAGGTGAGAAATCTACTACAATATATCTCTGGCATTCTCAGATTCACCATTTGTAGATTTGACTATTCAGAAGGAACTGCACTAAATCATATTCTTTGAAGGCAAAGTTTTACGTCTTTCCTCCTAGATTTGCACAGAAAATACTAGTGGAAGAAAAGGAGAAAAAAGTGGGGGTGGGGAGGAAGGAAGGGAGAAAGGAAAAAAGAAGAGAAAAACTCCCCCTCCTTGACCGTACTTTAGTTAGGCTGCTTATCTCGACTAGCCTTGATCTTGGCCTGCCCTTAGCAAGAATTCTACTAAGTCAATTTGGGGAGAATTCTCCATTCTTGATATCTGATCAAGTCCCTCATACTCCATACTCCACCCTTGATGTCTAAGTCCTTGGCCTCTCTTTAGCAAGAAACCTGTTAGGCCAGTCTAGCAAGCATCTGACTATCCCCTATGTCTCCTCTTGAGAATTCTCCAACCACCGACCCTCTTGCTGTGCTCATTGGCCGTAAATCCTCATTTATCCTTGTTGTATTTGGAACTAAGCTCGATCTTTCTCCCCTATTGCAATAGTCTTGAAAAAAGTCTTTCTGACTTCTTTTAACAAGCGTCAGAATATTTTTTCTTTAACAGAAGAAAGAAAGAAAGGAGATAGGGAGAAAGTAAGGCTAAAACATACACCAATTAGTAATTTTAACTCTTGTACCACAAGACCTGTGAGTAGGAGGGGCCAATCAGCCTTAGTGAATAGACTTCATTGGCTGTCTAGCTTCTTATCCTGGTGCTATGGTATCCCAACTCAAATGCATTACATAGAGAAAAATTACAGTCTCTAAATAGTGGAATTTGGAGGCTAATAGTCTTTATTCATACAATTGTC
The DNA here is from genome assembly GCF_000001405.40 of Homo sapiens. Lineage (NCBI taxonomy): Eukaryota > Metazoa > Chordata > Mammalia > Primates > Hominidae > Homo > Homo sapiens. The sequence goes on along the minus strand of NC_000016.10, from coordinate 58,933,889 downwards.
GAGATTGTGATCATAGTGAACCAAATCCCTAGCAGACATTAGAACTGTGAGAAAGTTTTAAAAATGCATAAGCCCAGGTCCAACCTCTCAGCAATGCTGATTTAATTGGTCTGCAGTGGAATCCAGGCATGGGTAGTTTAGGTGATTGAAATATATAGCCAAAGTTGAGAACCACTATGATCTTAAAATCAGCATCTCTGGTGTGCATCAAGACGGAAAGAACAAAGAGTAACTGAGGTTCCAACTCCGCCATATTGTCCTACCTGTATTAATCGGGAAAGCCACTTAACCTTTCAAAATTTCAGTTACATTATTTATAAAATGCATATAAAATACCTACTGCATTCAGTTATTCATGAAGAGTAAAGGAAATAAGAACATTCATTCACTTGTTCCTTCACTCTTTCATTCACTATTTTGTTCATTCACTTTACAAATATTTATTGATCACTCACCTCATGCCAAGCACTATTATAGGCCATGTGGACAGTACAGTGGCTGACGTCATTTGGCTGTGTCCTCACCCAAATCTCATCTTGAATTGTAGCTCCCATAATTCCCACGTGTTGTGGGAGGGACCCAGTGGGAAATAATTGAATCACGAGGGCTGTTTCCCCCATACTGTTCTCATGGTAGTGATTAAGTCTCACAAGAGCTGATGGTTTTATAAGGGAAAACTCACTTTGCTTGGCTCTCATTCTCTCTCTTGCCTGCCACCACGTAAGACATGACTTTGCTCCTCCTTCACTTTCTGCCATGATTATGAGGCCTCCCCAGCCATGTGGGACTGTGAGTCAATTAAACCTCTTTCCTTTATAAATTACCCAGTCTCAGGTATGTCTTTATTAGCAGCATGAGAACAGACTAATACAGTGACCAAGAGAGACCAACACATTCCTGCTCTCATAGGACTCAGCAAAATCCTAGAAATATAGTACATGATCAATAAATGCATATTACAACTGTTATCCAAACTGAAGATCATAATGGTTACTTGTACAACATAAAATGATAAACTAGAAGGCAATATGCTTTATACATTTCAAAGGAATACTGAAATTAATAATTATAGTTGTCTCTGTTTATAATTGATGTATTAATATGACCAATATTGTAAATTTGAAGGTCAATTTATTTTTTTCCCCTTTTCTGTCCGTAACCCACAGGATGATATAGCCATGAGATTACAAAACTTGAGGATGGAAGGGGACTGTAGACATCATTGAATAAAATCCCCTCATCATACAGATGAGAACTCCACAGACCTCTGAAGTAAAGTTCCCTTCTATTGGGATGCATTAGCTCTTTCAAGTCAGATATGCAATGGTTTTTATCAGTGAATCCTGATAGTGCTTGGTCAGTGATTTACAGATTGTAGGTTCTGAATAAATGTTTGTAGACTAAGAGACTGAATTAAAAATATGTAAATAAAAGTCAATGGTAATTTTTGCTCAAAGAATGCACATTGAATAATAGGCAGCAAAACAGGCAGCTTTTCAATATGGGGCTTTAAAGCATGATAAAAAGCCTATAAATATCTCATCTTCTCTGAAATAGCACCATACATAAGCATGGTATACTATTAAATAAATTTCATAACAAATAAGTCCCTTTTCAATATAAATTAATAAATTTCCTTTTCACATTATTTTTAGCTATCTAGGTCCTTAGCCTTTACTTAATGATGATGCACTTGATTAAATAAAATGAAAGAAAAATGAAAGTTCTTTCAGACATTAAAATGAATAATGAGTTTAGACTTAATCCAAACGCAATTTGACTTTAAACATTCATATGAAATTAAATGAGCCATTGAATTTGCTATATAAGCAAGCATTAATCTTATCAAGCTATGAAAACTAGAAAGTTATACAGTGACCCATTAATTTCAGAGCCTAATATAAGGTCTGTTTAATGTCTATACTCCATTAAAAAGTCTTATTCCACAATATAAGTGCTTTTTCATAAAAGTTTAAACCCCAATTCATTTTTTTTTTTACTGCTCCAATCATGTGATAATCAACTCTGACAAGATTATGGCTGCAAATTTGAATAAGGTATGTAATGTCATGTGAAACAAATTTTGCTCATGGCCAGCTTCCAACAAAAAAGAGGACATTTATATCATTGGCAGAAATGTGTGCCTACATTATTAAAGCCCACTCTTCCTCCATCCTAAGGTGTTTTCCTTGGATAAAGTCGTTTATAATTCTCCTATTAAGTAGACCGATATCCCTGTTACATAAGCAAAATTCTTTCATATAATCACCCAAGCCAAAAGCAGCATTCAGTACGCATGAATCATATGCCGTAAGCAGATGTAATTCAATGTTGGAATCAAATAACATATGTTTATTTTTACACATTTAAAATATTTCTCCATATAAAAAACTGTCATAATTTCATTGGAAATTTTTACATCCCAATTTTTAGCTCTATGTACAACCAGCCTGTTTTTACACTCAAATCCAGAGTTGGATAAAAATTAAAGAAAGATTAAAAGGGTAGCAGTGTTGTATTTATTACTTTATAAGATATTTAGCTAGATGACAAATCTATAATGCTATTCTACATGGCATCTCATCTTGAATGGCATTTCATTTTCATAGCGTCGATGTTGAAAGATATGGGGGAAAGGGGGAAACAGGTAGAAAAAGTAAAATATAAGTTTTTGCTGGCAGGCAGGGTCACTATTAAGTTTACTATATATCATATGACAAACTGATCAATTATTTCATAATAATGAAGAAAGACCAAGGAAGTGGAATGCTTTGAGAATATCATCACAGTGATGTGGACTCACATGTATTACTTATTGCATTGTATTGGGATTACATTAATAAATCACATAATTTACATATCTTAAATCCTCATTAATAAGTATTAGCTGTTATTATTTAGAGAACCGTAATAATTCACAAGAGGCTTGATATTTGAAATTTACAGCAGTAAATTTAAATAATGAAGTCTATTATTAATGAAAAAGGATTTTGTGGTGCAAGAGAGCAAACCATTACAGAATTTTTTTTAACAAAATAAGCATGGTTTACAGCATTCATCTATTCATCCTTGGGCTGGCACTCGAGGTCTCTATAATCTGTCTCCTAAATACAGATTATGGGTTTGTTGGTTTGGTGTTTTTCTGTGTCATTCATTCAGCCATGTAGTCATTCATATCATTTGGGATTTAATAGTTTAACTTCATCTCTGTGTTTAGTTACCTCTCCAATCTAGTGCATGACTAGCTGCCAAAATGTTTCAGCCATTCAACACCTGCTTCGGCCACTATAGTGGTTTCAGTGCTGCCCACCCTGCACGGCACAGCACTCGCGAAGGGAAACTTGAAGGAAGCTAAACAAAGGTATATTTCATTTCTTTGTACTCATCACAAAACTTAAAGCTAAACTTCACAAGTTGTAGGTATTCACAGATACTTGATAATGGGCACATCAATCTTTTGAGTTTCTCCTTTTTTAAAAGGTGGGGGTGTTGGGGGGTGGCAGGAACAGGGCGTGGTTGCTCATGCCTGTAATCCCAGCACTTCGGGAGGCTGAGTCCGGCAGATTACTTAAGGCCGGGAGTTCGAATCCAGCCTGGCCAACATGGTGAGACCTCGTCTCTACTGAAATACAAAAATTAGCCAGGCATGGTGTTGCGTGCCTGTAATCCCAGCTACTCAGGAGGCTGAGGCAGGAGAATCACTTGAACCTGGGGAGGCGGAGGTAGCAGTGGGTTGAGATGGCGCCACTGCACTGTGATAAGAATGAGACCCTATCTCAAAAAAAAAAAAAAAAAAACAGCAAGAGATTTTCCTCTTTGAAATTGGGTAAACATGTGTTTTGGAGTTTAAATTTTTTTAAGTAAAAGGGAGAAGGGAGAACTGAGCATCCAATACACTTCTATCTATGATGCCCTGGCAAATTATCGCAGTTGTCAATAAGTTCTAATTTGAGGACTGAGTCCTCTTCCTGTTTTGGAGAAAACTCTCCTTTCACGAGTCTTAGTGGAATACAGAGCTGCCCAATATCCTGTCAGTGAGTGATCCCTTTTTCATAAGTTAGCCAGAGTTGTTTCCTGGCATCCCCATCCAAGAGTGACAGGTTACCTCTTCTACACTCAATCTCTAAAATTAGGGATATCATGACCTATACTGCCTACCTCATGGGATTGAGGGGATCAATGATATAATAAAATTACCTATATTGACACGCAGTTAATCTTCCACAGTCGTTTGTTCTTTACATTTGACATTTTCTGAAAACATTGAAGAGAAGGCCATTTTTAGAAAACCTCCTAGTTTTTGTAAAAATAGAAATGATTTGTTCTCAAACTGTTATCATAAAGACCAAGTGAGATCATATACATAAAAATAACTGATCATTGATTAGCATGTTATAAACACTAAAAGCATTTTTCAACTTCAAACTTTATAACAATTATTGGCCATCCGAAACCATAGAATGTCTATTTGAATATACTTTGCAATCACAATCAAAGCTATATCAAAACAGAAATGATGTCTTTCGATAATAAGCTGGAAATATAGTCATGTCTTCCTGATTTATGTTCTCTTATTAGCTGTAGGATTTTTTCAACTCACTTAAACTCTTTGATTCTCAGCTTCTTCATTTGTAAAATGGGTAATTATGTTTACTTCTCAGAGTTACAATTAGGATCGAAATAAACAACACATGCAGATATGGTTAATGAACTCTTATATATTATGCACAGACTATCATCATCATCAACAACAACAACTTAGTATTTACTGAGATGTATCTGCTCTAAGAATCATCATATGCACACACACACACACACACACAAATACACACACACACACAAATACACACGCACACATTAATTTTGCTCAGCCACTATAAATATACCAGGCAGAAGAAAATTACATGTAACTACATATATGGACATTACTTTTTCTTCTAACAAAACTCCCAGCAGCAAGAGACATTGCTAGAAACATACTGGCCCCTTGCTTAGGATTGACAAGACAGTGTTGCAAGGACTCCAGCAGACACCAGGAATTAAACTGACAGAGCCATGTTAATTTCAAGCTTCATTAGAACTTGGGTAAGCATATCTACAGAGACCACCTGAGAGCAGGACACTCTTAGCCAAGCATGTATTCACCATTAATCAACTCTGCGCAGGAAGAATTTTACCACAGCAACACCCACTCTCATTGTCGTATGCACTTCTTCCTTGGAATAATTCAGATTTACTTTAGCAACTCAGTCTTGAACATTATCCCAAATTAAGATAATCCAACTAAAGATACTACATTTGCCAGATTGTACCAACCAATATTTTAAAATAATAAACTAACAGATAGATAGATAGATAGATAGATAGATAGATAGATAGATAGATGACAGATAGATAGATAGATAGATAGATAGATAGATAGATAGATAGGATAAACTTCTTCCTTGGAATAATTCAGATTTACTTTAGCAACTCAGCCTTGAACATTATTCCAAATTAAGATAATCCAACTAAAAATACTACATTTGCCAGACTGTACCAACCAGTATTTTAAAATAATAGATAGATAGATAGGTAGATAGATAGATAGATAGATAGATAGATAGATAGATAGATAGATAGATAGAACTTCTTCCTTGGAATAATTCAGATTTACTTTAGCAACTCAGTCTTGAACATTATCCCAAATTAAGATAATCCAACTAAAGATAGTACATTTGCCAGATTGCACCAACCAATATTTTAAAATAATAAACTAACAGATAGATAGATAGATAGATAGATAGATAGATAGATAGATAGATAGATGATAGATAGATAGATAGATAGATAGATAGATAAACTTCTTCCTTGGAATAATTCAGATTTACTTTAGCAACTCAGCCTTGAACATTATTCCAAATTAAGATAATCCAACTAAAAATACTACATTTGCCAGACTGTACCAACCAGTATTTTAAAATAATAGATAGATAGATAGATAGATAGATAGATAGATAGATAGATAGATAGATAGATAGATGAACTTCTTCCTTGGAATAATTCAGATTTACTTTAACAACTCAGTCTTGAACATATCCCAAATTAAGATAATCCAACTAAAGATACTACATTTGCCAGACTGTACCAACCAATATTTTAAAATAATAAACAGATAGATAGATAGGTAGATAGATAGATAGATAGATATTGACCAAGAGATAGATTGACCATGCCTAGTAAAGTCTTAGCTACTTCACTGTAGGCTAAGTAAGCTGTGGAAAATTCCATTGTTCAGTTTGTTCCAAATCAATGATTTCTTGAAAAAATGGCCTCTGAGAAAATGTACTTTCAACCAATAAAGCTTAAACTAAACAGTCCTTGAAGGCAACTCATTAAACTTAACAGATTTCGAGTGAAACAACTTCCTTAATGTGGAAAATTGTAACTAAATAACAAGGCAAAACCACAAGGAAAATTTAGACAATTTTTATTAGTCTTTCTTAAAGGCATCATAAACTATGTATTTTTAAATAAAATTATGGAAATCACTTTTTTGCAAGTCCCTCTTAAATTCTCAGGTTAAAGTTACTCTTCATAAAAACTATCACTCTAAAAGAATGTGTTAATCCAAGACTAAACATTCAAGGATGTTATCAAGGAAAATATCTTTGTATGAGAAAATGAGGAAAGACCTAGAAAACCTTGGAAAACCATCAGCACACTATGCAATCTGATCCCAAATGAAGGAGAGTGGGAGGGGACATTGGGTTGAGGCATCCTAGACTGCCCTGTCATATGAAGTTTTGGCAAGGCTACTGGGGAGTCCTCAAGCCAAAGTCATCATCAGAGGAGTCCCATGTCTTCCTGGAATGGGCCTGCCTTAGTGTCCTATCACACTCATTCATGGGCTGGGAGCAGCTGGTGGGAAACATCTTCTGTTCACAGGAGCTGCTATGGATTTCAAAGCACAATAGTTGGTACCCTTGGTCAATTACTGTATTAGTCCATTCTCACACTGCTGATAAAGACATACCCAAGACTGGGTAATTTATAAAGGAAAGAGGTTAGAGGTCCATTAGACTCACAGTTCCACATGGCTGGGGAGGCCTCACAATCATGGCGGAAGGCAAAGGAGAAGCAAAGGCACATCTTACATGACGATAGGCAAGAGAGCCTGTGCAGGAGAACTGCCCTTTATAAAACCATCAGATCTTGTGAGTCTTATTCACTATCACGAGAACAGCATGGGAAAGACCTGCCCCCATGATTCAATTACCTCCTACTGGTCCCTCCCACGACACATGGGAATTATGGGAGCTACAATTCAAGATGGGATTTGGGTGGGGACACAGCCAAAACATATCAATTACATTTGGAGATCTGTAAGGTACGGTCTTATGGCTGCCACAAGAGGTAAAATACAGGTTTCCATTTTTTAAGAAAATTTTCTTTTTTATGTATTTTACCAATATGATGATTAATGTGGAAAGCAGTTAGACAGTAATTAATGAATACCAAAAAAAAGAGGAAATATCTTAATTCTCTCCAAATCTTCAGCTACTGAGTTTTGAAACAATGGTTTGGTGACTGAGTAAAACATCCTCTCCCAACTTCTCTCCCAGCTCCTTCACAAGGAGAAGGGGTTATTAAAATATTTTGTCAATTTCTAGGACACAAATTGGGCTGTGTTTATTAATGGGCAGGATAACTATTGCACTGAACAGTAATTCACATGGGTGTACCTCACGCTTATCTTTCATGTCCTTCCTCAGTGTAAGTGGGTTGGTAAATTGACCAAGAGACTCATCTCAGAGTCTCTTCATCATTGTTTCATTCCCCCATATATTGCATCAACCCACAGAGTTTATAGTAAGTTCCTGTGGTCTAGATTTGGGATTCAGAGAAACTGGCAGTCTTGCATAAGCCTTAAACCTAAGATATATGCTCCAAACCTGCTTTCCCAAAATGCTGCTCTGATGAGCACTGAGCCTTTGTCCAACCAGCAATGCAGAGGCGCTTTGTTTCCACTTCATATTATTCATTGTGTTCACTTCTTCTGCTGGACGTTCAAAAAGAAGGAGACTCCTAGAGGCATAATCCATTTTAGTACTGACCAAACTATAACTCAACATCACCCAAAAGCTTCAAAGATAAATAATAAACAAATACAAAATTAAAATTGTTAATACAACATAAAAACCCAATCCATATTAAAATGTTGTTACATACCTAAGACCATCTGAGACCCAGGTCAGTTTGACCACATATGTTACTACAATGTGAGAATTTATAGCATTTTGATGAATGAGTTGAGAATTAATTATATAACTGATTTCTTATGGCTTTTTTTAGATATTATTTAAAATACCCATATCTAATCAGTAGAACTTTCAAAACCAATCAGAGTAAAAGGTTGGTATTTAAATATGTTTATCCTCTAAGCAGGTGTTTTCATTGACATCCTATGCCCTGATTCACAAATGTAAGATCAATATAAAATTGCAGATCTTGAGGAGAAGGAGAATTTTAGGCTGGCAATGCACATGACAAATAGAAATACAATATTCACATATTAAAACATAGTATTACCATGGGCCTTTCTTCATAGGGTACCCCCAATTCTAGTTTTATATGACAGTTTTATGAAGCTTCATAAGTGGCTCTATATATGTGTGTGTATCTATATATGCACACACACCAATATATGTATATGTACATACATATTACATATATACACAAATATAACCACTATATTACATATATATTGTACACACACACCTATATAAGTTATATATACACACACTTCTTGATCTGCAGTCCAATGTTCTACCTCTGAGCTATACCACCTCCTCACATACACCTACATAAGTTGCTCACAGCAATGTCCTTGAAAGTAGTCATTTCAATGGTTAAGTTACCTTTTGTGACAAGGCTGCAAATGCCTACCAATGTCTGTAGCCCTTGCGACACTACTAAACTAGATTCCTCAGAGCCTACATCAAAGTGAAGACATATGACTGAGTTTTGGCCAATTGAATATGTGTCACAGTTATATATGCCACTTCCAGGCCTAGACCCCTAAGACCAGTATTGGCTGTTGGGGAGGCAGAAGTGGGCTGGAAGGAGTCATGTGTGTAGCATTTGCTAATTTTCCATTATGTAAATACTTTCACCATGGCTGATTTCAAGGTACCAGTGTAACATCACTGACTGCGGAGTTGGGAGAGATGTATTAAGCAGTGCAGTTGACCTTCTGTATCCGTGGGTTCCACATCCGTAAATTCAACCAACTGAAAATCAAATATATATATATACACACACACACACACAAACACACACACACACACACACACACACACACACACACACACACATACATCTGAAACGCCAAAAAAGGCCAGGCATGGTGGCTCACATCTGTAATCCTAGCACTTTGGGAGGCCAAGGCAGGCAGATTGCCTGAGCTCAGGAGTTCCAGACCAGCCTTGGCAACATGGTGAAATCCCATCTCTACTAAAAATACAAAAAATTAGCCAGGCATGAGGGCGCACGCCTGTAATCCCAGCTACTTGGGAGGCTGAGGCAGGACAATTGTTTGAACCTGGGAGGCATAGGTTGCAGTCAGCCAAGATCACGCCACTTCACTCCAGTCTGGGCAACAGAGCAAGACTCTGTCTCAAAAAAATAAATAAAACTCAAAAAATAAAAATACAAGAACTTAAAAATACAAATAAAAAACAATACACTAGAATAATTTACATAGTATTACATTGTATGAGACAATTTAAAGCATACAGGAGGATATGTGTAGGTTATATGCAAATACTATGCCATTTAACATATGAGATTTGAGCATCTGTGGATTTTGGTATTTGTGGGAGTCCTGGAACCAATGCCCCGCAGATACCAAGGGATGATTGTATTTCTGCTCTACAGATACAATAGATGTAAATAACCTCAAGACCATAGATAATAGTAAAATATAGTAGTAGAATTAGGAAATGATGTTTTGTTTTTAATGTGATTTATTATTCATAGATTTATATAATTTAATTTTTCATAACAGTCATATTTAAAAACCAGCTCACAAAATTCCTAAAAATTTAGCAATTAGCTCTCACAAGCCGGCAGAGCCAGCTCCAGCGTGTCACTGCTAAGGTCTTTCATGGGACACTGCACACACTCTTTCTTTCCGTTTCCTAATCAGACCCCTGAGATGCCGCAGTTTAGGGGTCCCCAGAACCATTAGGAGAGCCCGGTCCCTGGCTAACTTCATGGAGCAGTTCCCCCTTTCTTCTGATCCTGCTGACCCACAGTGAGTTGACAGTAAGAAACAACACTCCCTGTGTTACGATACTTGATTGTGGGGTTATTTGTTGCTGCATCTGGTACCGAAAAAAAATGAATTCTTTCATTTATTGGTTTTCATGTTTGATTAATCTTCAAACCCAGCTGAGAATGTTTGGTGAAATATAGATTCCTGGACCCCTGGTGATTAAGAATCTCCAGGACTTTGGGCTTGGAAAGACTCCCTGATCATCGGTCAGAAATAAAAATTTCCCAGGCCCCACCCTAGACTTACTGAATGAGAATCAGCATTTTAGCAAGATCCCCATGTGATCAGTATGCACATTAAGACTGAAAAGCAGGGAAGTAATAATAGATAAACTACACAGAGACTCAGCAAATGCTCTGGCACTCAAGAGAGAAGATGGAAAAAGAAAATTTGATACTACAAATACAAACAAAATCCACAAGTAGCCGCCATGGGAAAAATGATAACTTTTTCAGTTTAGCATAGTTTTCATCTTTTATTACATATGAAGTAAGTACTATAATATTTTCAGTGCTTACAGTCTCTAAAGGTTTTAGCCTAGCTCTTTTGTTATGTCTAAGACTTTGAATTTTAGCTTCTTGGGAATGAGAAATCATTCAGCCAGAGAATGACATAGTCACATGTGAATTTTAGGACCTTCCCTCAGGTACATGTATGGAAAGTGAGAGTAGGAAGAATGATGTTTCCAACATACTGTTAGTTTTGTGCAGTTTTGTTTGATCCATAATTGCCTGGAAATACAGCATTGTGTATAAATGCTCCTTCACTCTTCTGTTGTAACTTATTTCTTTTAAAAACAATCTGAACCATCTCCTCTTGTGAATACAGTCACATCTACTTTGACCCTACAGATTCCTTTGTCCTTCTGACTGTATTCACAGGTATAATGCTAATCCTCATTTCAAATTCAAATAGGCCTTTGTTTGTAGGGCAAAGATGTCATTGAATCTGTCAATCTCTGGCCCAGCATGGTCTACTCTAACTATGAGGAAACATTGGCTGGTATAACATGAGAACTCTGGATCTGATGACAATGCTTTTTCCTCTATGATGTCCTGGAGCCCAGAGGGTTAGAAATAGTGCAAATCTACATATTCCTGAATAACTGAAGATCCACAACCATTTCTGTTGGTTAATGGAAAGAGATAAGTCAGGGAGAGAGATCAGGAGAGACGCCCTGATGGACCTATATTAATACTCATGCCCAGTGTGTCCATGGGGCAAATCCTTTCCCCATCCTCAGCCCCTGTGGTTTAAGAGGAGCTCCCTCCCTTGCCATTCCTATGGGTCACAGAAGGGGGTGGTCCTGCCAGTAGGACACACCATCAACCCTGCCAGTGATAGGTTCAGGATGGGCATGAACCAAGCTGAACCAATGAAAACTAGTCTCTAGAACTTCTTTAGGAATCATCAAGGAAAAGAAAGTCATTCCACTTTACATTAGAATTGCTAAATTCCACTCATTTATCCCTAGAGCTGTTAGTGGCTATTTTTGCTCCACTGTGCCACATCCACATAACCATGAATTACCCACAGAAGAAAGCAGAACTTGAAGATGGAAAAAGACAGATTGCCAATAACGTTATGAAGTCCTGCCTACTTCCATCATGCATGAAGTCTAACCTATATTTGAACTACGCTATTTATAAGCCAATACATTCCCTTTTATCTTAAGCAAGATTAAATCTGACATGTAGTATTTGCCACCAAAAAAAAAAATGTACTAATATAAAGTAAAAAAAAAAATGGGCGGGGGGCAGAATGTATTCAGGCAAATGACATGGATGGAGTTTGAAGTCCCCTCTCCCTGTGTCACAGAAGCAGCAATACGTCTGTTGGGGCAGGATGTAAAACTTAGATAGGCAATATTTAGGATGATTAAAGGTTGGTATCTAGAGTGGACTTCCTGGCTTCAAAGCCTGCCTCATTAGTAAGTTGAGTGATGCCAGGCAAGTCATTTGGCCCTACCATGCCTCTGTTTCTTCATCTGTAACTTGGGGTGAGTGATGGAACCTACTCAATAGAGTTAATAAATAAATTAAGTGAGGTAATAACATGAAGCATTTAGAGGGACTGGCCCTGAGTAAGCATAATTGTGATGGCTATCATTATTTTTAAGCCCTCCCTTTTTACCTTTCTTCTTTCCTAAGTCCAACATTTATTCTTCTACAGTAAAGAATGCACAGTGCTTAGGAACTGAAGATGGATGCCCCTAAGTCTGGCCCTCAGATATCTCAGTCTGATGGAGAAGACCTCACACCTCATTATGAATCTGGGTTTAGATGCCACATGTGCAATGATTAGGCTGCAGGAACTAAGAACCAGATTTCTCCCCCAGCCCCAATGTGGTTAAGAAAGGTTTATGGAAAGGTATCACTCAGGACATACACTACAGTCACTGTAGGGCATGGTGCTGATGTTGTGGGAAAATGCCTCCTCAAGGGGATTTGTAGAAACATCCCACATTGGTGGCTGGCAAGATGGCCGAATAGCAACAGCTGGTGTCTGCAGCTCCCAGCAAGATCAATGCAGAAGGCGGGTGATTTCTCCATTTCCAACTGAGGTAGCCAGCTCTTCTCATTGGGACTAGTTAAACAGTGGGTGCAGCTCACAGAAGACAAGCAGAAGCAGGGTGGGGCATTGCCTCACCTGATAAGTGCAAGGGGTCAGGGAACTCCCTCCCCTAGACAAGAAAGCCATGAGGGACTGTGCCGTGAGAAACTGTGCACTCCAGCCCAGATACTATGCTTTTCTCATGGTCTTCGCAACCTGCGGACTAGGAGATTCCCTTGGGTGCCTAGGCAACCAGGACCCTGGGTTTCAAGTACAAAACTGGGCGGCTGTTTGGCCAGACACCGAGCTAGCTGCAGGAGTTTATTTTCATACCCCAGTGGCACCTGGAATGCCAGCAAGACAGAACCATTCACTCCCCTGGAAAGGGGGCTGAAGCCAGGGAGCTAAGTGGTCTAGCTCAGTGGATCCCACCCCCACACAGCCCAGCAAGCTAAAATCCACTGGCTTGAAATTCTCGCTGCCAGGAGAGCAGTCTGAAGTTGACATGGGATGCTCCAGCTTGGTGGGAGGAGGGGCGTCCACCATTACTGAGGCTTGAGTAGGCGGTTTTCCCCTCAGCCACCAGGAAGTTCAAACTGCCACAGCTCGGCAAAGCCGCTATAGCCAGACTGCCTCTCTAGATTCCTCCTCTCCAGGCAGGGCATCTCTGAAAGGCAGCAGCTCCTGTCAGGGGCTTATAGATAAAATTCCTATCTCCCTGGGACACAACACCTGCAGGAGAGGCAGCTGTGGGCGCAGCTTCAGCAGACTTAAATGTTCCTGCCTGCCAGCTCTGAAGAGAGCAGCAGAACTCCCAGCACAGTGCTCAAGCTCTACTAAGGACAGACTGCCTCCTCAAGTGGGTCCCTGACTCCTGTGCCTCCTGACTGGGAGACACCTCCCAGCAGGAGTCGACAGACACCTCATAGAAGAGAGCTCCAGCTGGCATCTGGCGGTATCCCTCTGGGACGAAGCTTCCAGAGGAAGGAACAGGCAGCAATCTTTGCTGTTCTGCAGCCTCTGCTGGTGATACCCAGGTAAACAGGGTCTGGAGTGGACCTCCAGCAAATTCCAACAGACCTGCAGCAAAGAAGCCTGACAGAAGGAAAATTAACAAACAGAAAGGAACAGCATCAACATCAACAATAAGGATGTCCACACAGAAACCCCATCTGAATGCCACCAAATCAAAGACCAAAGGTAGATAAATCCATGAAAATGAGGAAAAAACAGTGCAAAAATGCTGAAAATTCCAAAAACGAGAACGCCTTCTTCTCCTCCAAAAAATCACAACTCCTTGACAGCAAAGGAACAAAACTGGATGGAGAATGAGTTTGACAAATTGACAGAAGTAGGCCTCAGAAGGTGGGTAATAACAAACTCCTCTGAGCTAAAGGAGCATGTTCTAACCCAATGTAAGGAAGCTAAGAACCTTGAAAAAAGGTTAGAGGAATTGCTAACTAGAATAACCAGTTTAGAGAAGAACATAAATGACCTGATGGAGCTGAAAAAACACAGCATGAGAACTTCATGAAGCATACACAAGTATCAATAGCTGAATCAATCAAGCGGAAGAAAGGATATCAGAAATTGAATATCAACTTAATGAAATAAAGCGTGAAGACAAGATTAGAGAAAAAAGAATGAAAAGGAATGAACAAAGCCTCCAAGAAATATGGGATTATGTGAAGAGACCAAACCTACGTTTGATTGGTGTACCTGAAAGTGAGGGGGAGAATAGAACAAAGTTGGAAAACCCTCTTCAGGATATTATCCAGAAGAACTTCCCCAACCTAGCAAGACAAGCCAACATTCAAATTCAGGAAATACAGAGACCACCACAAAGACACTCCTTGAGAATAGCAACCCCAAGACACATAACTGTCAAATTCAACAAGGCTGAAATGAAGGAAAAAATGTTAAGCACAGCCAGAGAGAAAGATCGGGTTACCCACAAAGGGAAGCCCATCAGACTAACAGCAGATCTCTCTGCAGAAACCTTACCAGTCAGAAGAGAGTGCGGGCCAATATTCAACATTCTTAAAAGAATTTTCAACCCAGAATTTCATATCCAGCCAAACTAAGCTTCATAAGTGAAGGAGAAATAAAATCCTTTACAGACAAGCAAATGCTTAGAGATTTTGTCACCACCAGGCCTGCCTTACAAGAGCTCCTGAAGGAAGCACTAAGTATGGAAAGGAAAAAACCAGTACCAGCCACTGCAAAAAAAAATACCAAATTGTAAAGACCATCGACACCGTGAAGAAACTGCATCAACTAATGGGCAAAATAACCAGCTAGCATCATAATGATTGGATCAAATTCACACATAACTATATTAACCTTAAAGGTAAATGGGCTAAATATTAGACTAGGCCAGGCGCAGTGGCTCACACCTGTAATCCTAGCACTTTGGGAGGCTGAGGTGGGTGGATCACAAGGTCAGGAGATAGAGACCACCCTGGCTAACACGGTGAAACCCCATCTCTACCCAAAAGAAATACAAAAAATTAGCCAGGTGCAGTAGTGGGCACCTGTAGTCCCAGCTACGCAGGAGGCTGAGGCAGGAGAATAGCGTGAACCCAGGAGGCGGAGCTTACAGAGAGCCAAGATCGCGCCACTGCACTCCAGCCTGGGCAAAAGAGCCAGACTTCATCAAAAAAAAAAAAAAAAAAAGACACAGACTGGCAAATGAGACAGAGTCAAGACCCATCAGTGTGCTGTATTCAGGAGACCCATCTCATGTGCAAAGACTCACATAGGCTCAAAATAAAGGGATGGAGGAAGATTTACCAAGCAAATCAAAAGCAAAAAAAACCAGTGGTTGCAATCCTACTCTCTGATAAAACAGACTTTAAACCAAGAAAGATAAAAACCTATAAAGAGCATTACATAATGGTAAAAAGATCAACACAACAAAAAGAGCTAACTATCCTAAATATATAAGCACCCAACACAGGAGCACCCAGATTCATAAAGCAAGTTCTTAAAGACCAACAAAGAGACTTAGGCTCCCACACAATAATAGTGGAAGACTTTAACACCCCACTGTCAATATTAGATCAATGTGACAGAAAATTAACAAGGATATTCAGGACTAGAACTCAGCTATGGACCAAGCGAACCTAATACACATCTACAGAACTCCCCACCTCAGATCAACAGAATATACATTCTTCTCAGCACTACATCGCACTTATTCTAAAATTGACCACATAATTGGAAGTACAACACTCCTCGGCAAATGCAAAAGAATGGAAATCATAACAAACAGTTTCTCAGACCACAGTGCAATCAAACTAGAACTCAGGATTAAGAAACTCACTCAGAACCGCACAACTATATGGAAACTGAACAACCTGCCCCTGAATGACTACTGGGTAAATAATGAAATTAAGGCAGAAATAAAGAAGTTCTTTGAAACCAATGAGAACAAAGACACAACGTACTAGAATCTCTGGGACACAGCTAAAGCAGTGTTTAGAGGGAAATTTATAGTACTAGATGCCCACAGGAGAAAGCGGGAAAGATCTAAAATCAACACAACACCCTAACATCACAATTAAAAGAACTAGAGAAGCAAAAGCAAACAAATTCAAAAGCTACCAGAAGACAAGAAATAACTAACATCAGAGCAGAACTGAAGAAGATAGAGACACAAAAAAACCCTTCAAAAAATCAATGAATCTAGGAGCTGGTTTTTTGAAAAGATTAACAAAATAGGTAGACCGCTAGCAAGACTAATAAAGAAGAAAAGAGAGAAGAATCAAGTAGACACAATGAAAAATAATAAAGGGATATCACCACTGATCCCACAGAAATACAAACTACCATCAGAGAATACTATAAACACCTCTATGCCAATAAACTAGAAAATCTAGAAGAAATGGATAAATTCCTTGACACATACAGCCTTCCCAAGACTAAACCAGGAAGAAGTCAAATCCCTGAATAGATCAATAACAAGTTCTGAAATTGAGGAAGTAATGAATAGCCTACCAACCAAAAAAATGCGCAGGACCAGATGGATTCACAGCCGAATTCTACCAGAGGTACAAAGAGGAGCTGGTACCATTCCTTCTGAAACTATTCCAAACAATAGAAAAAGACGGACTCCTCCCTAACTCATTTTATGAGGCCAGCATCATCCTGATACCAAAACCTGGCAGAGACACAACAACAAAAAAAATTCAGGCCAATATAACTGATGAACATCAATACGAAAATCCTCCATAAAATACTGGCAAACTGAATCCAGCAGCACATCAGAAAGCTTATCCACCATGATCAAGTCAGCTTCATCCCTGGGATGCAAGGCTGGTTCAACATACAAAAATCAATAAATGTAATCCATCACATGAAGAGAACCAATGACAAAAACCACATAAGTATCTCAATAGATGCAGAAAAGGCCTTCGATAAAATTCAACACCCCTTCATGCTAAAAACTCTGAATAAACTATGTAGTGATGTAACATATCTCAAAATAGTAAGAACTATTTATGACAAACCCCCAGCCAGTGGGCAAAAGCTGGAAACATTCCCTTTGAAAACTGGCACAAGACAAGGATGCCCTCTCTCACCACTCCTATTCAACATAGTATTGGAAGTTCTGGCCAGGGCAATCAAGCAAGAAAAAGAAATAAAGCATATTCAAATAGGAAGAGAGGAAGTCAAATTGTCTCTGTTTGCAGATGGCATGACTGTATACTTAGAAAACCCCATCACCTCAGCCCAAAATCTCCTTAAGCTGATAAACAACTTCAGCAAAGTCTCAGGATACAAAATCAATGTGCGAAAATCACAAGCATTCTTATATACCAATAATATCCAAATCATGAGTGAACTCCCATTCACAAATGCTACAAAGAGAATAAAATACCTAGGAATACAACTGACAAGAGATGTGAAGGACCTCTTCAAGGAGAACTACAAACCACTGCTCAAGGAAATAAAAGACACAAACAAATGGAAAAACATTCCATGCTCATGGATAGGAAGAATCAATATCATGAAAACGGTTATACTGCCCAAAGTAATTTACAGATTCAATGCTATCCCCATCAAGCTACCATTGACTTTCTTCACAGAATTAGAAAAAACTCCTTTAAATTTCATATGGAACCAAAAAAGACCCCATATAGCCAAGACAATCCTAAGCAAAAAGAACAAAGCTGGAGGTATCACACTACCTGACTTCAAACTATACTATAAGGCTACAGTAATCAGAACAGCATGGTACTGGTACCAAAACAGGTATATAGACCAATGCAACACGACAGAGGCCTCAGAAATAATGCCATACATCTACAACCGTCTGATCATTGACAAACCTGACAAAAACAAGCAATGGGGAAAGGATTCCCTATTTAATAAATGGTGCTGGGAAAACTGGCTAGCAATATGCAGAAAACAAAAAGTAGACCCCTTTACAAAATTTAACTCATACAAAAATTATCTCATACAAAAATTAACTCAAGATGGATTAAAGACTTAAACATAAGACCTAAAACCATAAAAATCCTAGAAGAAAACCTAGGCAATACTATTCAGGACATAGGCATGGGCAAAGACTGCATGACTAAAACACCAAAAGCAATGGCAACAAAAGCCAAAATAGACAAATGGGATCTAATTAAACTAAAGAGCTTCTGCACAGCAAAAGAAACTATCATCAGAATGAACAGGCAACCTACAGAATGAGAGAAAATTTTGGCAATCTATCCATCTGACAACTGGCTAATATCCAGAATCTACAAGGAACTCAAATAAATTTACAAGAAAAAAAATAAAACTCCATCAAAAAGTAGGTGAAGGATATGAACAGACACTTCTCAAAACAAGACACTTATGCGGCCAACAAGCATATGAAAAAAATCTCATTATCACTGGTCATTAGAGAAATGCAAATCAAAATCACGATGAGATACCATCTCATACCAGTTAGAATGGCGATCATTAAAAAGTCAGGAAACAACAGATGCTGGAGAGGATGTGGAGAAATAGGAATGCTCTTACACTGTTGGTGGGAGTGTAAATTAGTTCAACCATGGTGGAAGACAGTGTGGTGATTCCTCAGAGATCTAGAACCAAGAAATACCATTTGACCCAGCAATCCCATTACTGGGTATATATCCAGAGGATTATAAATCATTCTACTATAAAGACACATGCACACATATGTTTATTGCAGCACTATTCACAATAGCAAAGACTTGGAACCAACCCAAATATCCATCAATGATAGACTGGATAAAGAAAATGTGGCATATATACACCATGGAATACTATGCAGCCATAAAAAAGGGATGAGTTCATGTCCTTTGCAGGGACATGGATGAAGCTGGAAACCATCATTCTCAGCAAACTAACACAGGAACAGAAAACAAAACACCATATGTTCTCACTCATAAGTGGGAGTTGAACAACGAGAACACACAGACACAGGGCAGGGAACATCCCACACCTGGGCCTGTCAGCAGGGTTGGGGATAGGGGAGGGATGGCATTAGGAGAAATACCTAATGTAGATGACGGGTTGATGAGTGCAGCAAACCACCACGGCACGTGTATACCTATGTAGCAAACCTGCATGTTCTGCACATGTATCCCAGAACTTAAAGTACAATAATAATAAAAAAAAAATCCCACATTGATTCCCTCCCAGCTAAGGCACAAAGCACTTCAGTGTAGGCCAAGTATGGAGTTGTGGGCAGTGCAGACACTCAAATTAACATGACATTATTCCTGAGAAAATACATCTAAGCTGTTTGGGGCTTTAAAAAACATATCTTTAATTGCTGCCAACTCTCCAGTTCTTTTTGCAAATTATGAAAGTTGGGGCTTGTGAGTCAATACAAAGACTAAATAAGATCCTGATGGTTCTATTATTAGGATGTGAAAAAAGTCAAAAAGCAGAGCAAGGGCTGTGATCAACGTGAAACACTAAGATCTCAGGAGTGTTTCCATCTGCACAGGTGAGTCATCTCAACATGCCTCCAGATAGCTGGGAATCTCCCCAAAGCCTCACCTTTAGCAATCAACACCCTGCCACAGAGTAGATGCCAATTTCCATACAGCTGAGCTGCAGAGACCAAATGTTTTGGTTTATAAGAATTATTTTAGGCTATAACATATTTGTGCATTGCAGCTGGAAGATGCAAAACTAACAGATAAAAAGGTGGATGCAGGGGCACACATACCTTTCACACTCATGGCACCACATGTCTATTACAACTACACATGCATGGCAGTGTCACCCACACAGGCATGTACACAGTGCCTACCACAGGATTACTAACACTCACAATATTACATTCATACACATGCCCTCCACACATTCATACCAAACACACTGAGCACTGCATGACATGCCACCTGCATACACATGCCTCCCACACCCACACACCCAAGGCACAACCATCATGTGTGCCAGACCAGATATGTCACACCAGAGGTATATATATCAGGCCGGGCGCAGTGGCTCATGCCAGTAATCCCAGCACTTTGGGAGGCCAAGGCGGGCAGATCGCTTGAGCTCAGGAGTTTGAGACCAGCCTGGGCAACATGGTGAAACCCTGTCTCTACCAAAAATACAAAAACTTAGCCAGGCATGGTGGTATGCATCTGTGCTATCAGCTACTTGGGAGGCTGAGGTGGGAAGATCGCTTGAGCCTGGGGGGTGGAGGTTGCAGTGAGCCAAGATCACGCCACTGCACTCCAGCCTGGGTGACACAGTGAGACTCCACCTCAAAGAAAAAAAAAAAAATGTATATATCAGCCCCACACCCCAGGTAGTCATCCAAAATATGCATCTTGATATGCACATGCACACACAAGGTGCACACTTAAAATTACACTCTAAATATAATGGTCTGCATTTTTTTCTTTCATGAGATATGCACATCTTTATTCCTAATGAAGTAAAACAGTAGATGGGAGCAAAAAGAGGAGATACGTTTAATTTTTAAAATCATCAAGAAGATGCATGCTATTAAGATTCAACATTTTTTGCACAAGCAGGCTAAAGGTGTCCTGGAAGATGTATGCCACATTTGATTCACTCTGTGCCAGGGATACAGCTAGAAAGGGTCTGAGGAAGCCATCTCCACAGAGCTCCTCATAAGGCAGGGCCTCTGAGTGTGGAGTTGCAGTGAGAGGAACAGTGGGGAGGCTTCACTCTATCCCTTCCTTTAGCTATCTCTTTATGCCTTTCCCAGGAATCCACAGCCTCAGGGTGAATCTACAGGGCTCAGACCCCCAAGGTGAAGAAAACCCTGGTGAGATGTGAGAGCATTCAATTCTTGCCCCAGCAGGGACAGAAGCAGCACCACATGATAAAGGCCACAGCAACTTAAAGTGAAGCCCCTGCCATGAATGGCACAGTACTACATTGTAAGAGAGGAAAAATGGGAGAGACTCCATTGAGTGAGTAACTACCATGCAATAACTCTGGGCTGAATGCCTCAAATACATTATCTCACCTATTCTTCACAGCACTGACAGTGCCCTAAGATGGGTCCATTCTACATCTTCTGCATAGGTTGAGTAACTTGTCCAGCAACGCATTGTTTAGAACTGGTTTTGAACCCAGGTCTCTCTGGCTCTAGAGCCTCAGCTCCGCCTACATTGTTATCTGGCCTGTTATTATTATAATTGGCATCATGTCTGTATTAGTCCATTCTCAAACTGCTATAAAGAAATAGCTGAGACTGGGTACGTTATACAGAAAATAGGTTTCATTGGCTCACGGGTCTGCAGGCTATACAGATAGCATAGAGGCATCTGCTCAGCTTCTGGGGAGGCCTCAGGAAAACTCAAAATCATGGCAGAAGGCAAAGGGGGAGGGGCACTTCGCAGGGCTAGAGAAAGAGCAAGAGAAGGAGGGTGTAGATGCTACGCACTTTTAAACAACCAGATCTCGTGAGAATTTTCTCACAAGAACAGCACCAGGGGGATGGCGCTAAACTATTCATGAGAAACTGTCCCCATGATCCAATCACCTCCCACCAGGCCCCACCTCCGACACTAGGAATGACAATTCGACACGAGATTTGGGTGGGGACACAGATCCAAACCATATCACTGTTCATACACAGAGAATCAGGGTGAGGTCAGGAGACATTGCCAAGAAAATCAGGAAAAGAAAAACCTTAATACCTCTTGATTCATGTGAGATCAAACATATAATTAATACTTATAATTTTAGGTTATTGTAGGTAGATTGCTGCATTGGCACATAAATGTGATATTTTTCCCAAGTGAGTCAGCTGATTTGGAACTACTGCATAAACATATGCTAAAAGAAAAAGCATGAAGCATCTGCTTTCCATCCACATTACAACCTTCCCCCATCATTTGTCCCCCTCGGGACAAATACATCTCATTTGTCTTTACCCCTAGTCCTGGGCAATCAATAGGTACATGACACTTTGTTGAATAAATAACAGAAGAAATGAATAAAATTTATTGTTTTCCATAAAACAATGGAAACTTATGGAGCCCCCAAACCTGGAAGCAAAATCATTTGCATGAAATGGCTCATTCTGAGTTTGGGAATGAACTCACAAAAGGAAGGCAGAAATGACAAGGCTATAATGCTAACTCATCATACCAAAGCTTTGGTCCTTTGAAATCAGAGCATGCTCTCCAAGGAGTGAGACCATAGATTTGTTTCCAGCAATCTCTTTTCTGATATCTGAGGGCGACCTGCTGTCCTTTCTGATCCTGTAATCCTACCAGTGTTTATAAGGTTTTTCTGCACAGGTACCACAGTCATTAGCAAGAGCACAAATTTTAGATCCCGCCTAACAGTTTTCTGTAGAATTTCTACAGAGAAACGTTTTCAAAGTTCTTCATCATGGAAAAGTCTATGATATACTAATCCTGTAACTGCTGGTGTTGAATGAAAGAATAAGTGAATGAATGAATTTAAAGAGGAGGGGAAAGTAGGAACAGAGTAAGAAGAAATGGGGGTAGAAAGAAAAGAAACAATAAACGATGAAATGAAGGATTACATATTAATTGTGGGGTCCTAATTAGGGAAAAGGAGTTGGGCTGGCAGGACCAAGGGAAAGCCAAAAAAAAAAGAAGCAGATAAGTAGTAAGTCTGCCTTTCTTCATGGTCCAGGACACATAGCCCTCCTGCGCAAATAACTGACAATCTTCCTGTACCCAGCTATCACCAGACACCTTGGCTGATAGAAAAATGCAAGTGAGTTCACTGCAACCTTGGCATTATCAGTACTGCTCAAAGCCCCCTTCAGCACACAGCACAAGCACCGTCCTATAAAATCCCCAGCAAGCCTTTTTCTCCTTGCAGTCAGCTCCTCTCTTGCTGACTTGCCTATTGTCAAATACAATGTATTTTCCTACTTTCTCTAATAAATCTGCCTTTCTTTACCTATGACTTGGTAATTTCTTTTCACCATGTACACGACACCAGCCCCAGATAGTCACTACCCACAACATTTATTATAGTTAAAAGCCATACCCCCTGTTCTACACGTTTCATGCTTTATCACACTTGATCTGAAAGACAGCTACTATTATTATCCCCATTTTTCAGATGGATAAACTGAGATTTGGATAAACTAAATTGCTTATCCAAGGCTCATACAGCTGAAAATTTATGGAACTAGTTAGGATGGCACTGGGATTCTAACCCAATACCCATACTACCTATCTATGGAGCTTAAGTTTTCTCTCTCTTTTTTTTTTCCTTTTGAGACAGGATCCCACTCTGGCACACAGGCTGGAGTGCAGTGGCATGATCTCAGCTCGCTGCAGACTTGACTTCCTGGGTTCAAGCAATTCTCCCACCTCAGCCCCACAAGTAGCTGGGACTACAGGCGCCTGCCACCATGCCCAGCTAATTTTTGTATTTTTAGTAGAGACGGGGATTCACCATGTTGCCCAGGCTGGTCTCATGGTCTCAAACTCCTGGACTTAAGCGATCCGCCTGCCTCGGCCTCCCAAAGTGCTGGGATTATAAGCATGAGCCACCACACCCAGCCCAAGTTTTCTCTTAAGGCAACAGAAATAAATTAAAAGTTTTGTTTGGTTGGTTTTGATTTTGTGTGAAGCAGGGTAAGGATTACGGTTTTAGAAATATTAATCTGCAGGCATTTTAGAGGATACATGGAGAGAAAGCTACATTTACCCTAAGAGTAAAGGCTGGCTGCTACAGGAATCCAGGCAAAGGTCACAGAGTTTCTACCTAAAAGTACCTGAAAAAATTTTTCCCAGGAAAATGTGGTATACATACATAATGGAATACTACACAGCCATAAAAGAGAAAGAAATCATGTCCTTTGCAGCAACGTGGATGGTGCTGGAGGCCATTATCTTAAATGAACTAACTCGGGGTTGGGAGAAAAAAAAACATGTTCTCACTTACCAGCGGGAGCTAAACAATAGGTAAACATGGATATGAAGACAAAAATAATAGATACTGGGGACTTCAAAAGGGGAACAGGTGGGAGAACTGAAAAATTACCTATTGGGTACAATCCTCGCTATTTGCATAATGGGTACATTAGAAGCCCAATCCCACCAATATACAATTACCTATATAACAAACATGCACATATGCCCCTGAATCTCAACTAAAATTAAAATTAATTTTTCTAGGAAATCAGTTGAAGAAATACCAGAAACATGTTAAAATTAGTGTAGACTAAGTAGAAATAAAGATGGAGAAAAAAGTTTAGATTCAGTGAAAATTGCTAGAATGGGGACAAATTTCTGGGTGTTACTACATATTTATTCATTTTCTAAGTGGCTACAATATGGATAGGAATAACAGGAGAAAACAATCTGCACAATTGTAACTACCCAGCGGGTTCTTCCTGCCCACTGCACAAACAAAATCAATTCATGGAGACTATGGCATTGCAGTAAATAAAGAGTTTGATTGACAAGACGCTGGCCACACCACATAGGAGACAAAGTTATTACTCCCATCAATCTCATCAAAGGCTCAGAGGTTAGGGGTTTTTCAAAGGTAGTTTGGGAGTAAGGGGTGGGAATTGCTAGGCAATGAGTGCTTGCTGCTGATTGGCTGGGGGTGCAATCATAGGGGTGTGGGAAATGGTTCTCTTGGGCACTGAGTTCCTTCTGGGTGGGTGACCACAGGAGTGGTTGGTGTTCCAGGTGGAGCCACTGGTCATCAGACATGCAAAAACCTGAAAAGATATCTCAAAAGGGCAATCTTAGGTTCTACAATTGTGATGTTACCTGCAGGAGTAATTGAGGGAGTTGCATTATCTTGTGACCTCCAGAATAATGGCTGGTGATGATTTATGTCCATACTTCAGTATAATTCAGGCTCGTCTACCATCCTAGCCTGGTGGTCTCTCACTAGCTTTACTAAAGGCGGTTGAGTTTGGGAGAAGGGCTATTAACATTTAAACTATAAACTAAATGTCTCCCAAAGTTAGCTTGGCCTAAGCCCAGGAATCATTAAGGGCAGCTTGAAGGCCAAAGGCAACATGAGAGTTGGCCAGATCAGATCTCCTTCATTGCCATAATTTTCTCACTGTTACAGTTTTTGCAAAGGTGGTTTCACAATCAGCCCCTATTTTTGTGAATCACAGAGCCCAAATGAGAGATTAACAAAATAATTTCAATTTATATAAATTTTTCATATGCAATGATAGTAAGTGCAAAATGCTAAAGAGGAAGAAAGACCCCAGCAGGTACCTAGGGCAGGGAAGGAAGGGTACAAGAGTGCTTTGCACAAGAAGAGATCCTGTGCTTTGAAAACAAATCAGAAGTCATTGTGAGGTGGGTGAAACTGAAGAGAAAGAAAAAATAAGGTTTAGAAGGCAATAGCCATGCAAAGGAGTCAAGCTTAATCTGCATGCTCTGACTCCACTTCCCACCTCTATCCCTTCTTTTATCTCAGGACTGGGCATCAGCACAGTCCACCCAGAAATCTCTGCCTGTTGGAGAACAATTGCTCTCTGCTTACAGAGAGCAAAATGAAGTAATTTGGGGCTGTGGCCTGTTATGGTAACCACTATGCAGTGGCCTCCATGTATGTTAATTTCATTTTGATCTGAAAGAATAAAATATAATAAGAGAATAATTTAAACAAAGTAAGAGCCAGAAATGTCCCATTTTGCAACTTGAGCGTATGCTCCATGTGTCATTTTTATTAATGCTATCAGACAAAAGAATTTTACTGGCCATGAGTGGGAAGCTTAAGAGCCTTTTCTGGAGTTGTTGCTTGTGCTGTGGGAAATTGCATTTGCACTCTGGGGTTCCTGTATTGATGGAATATATTCATTTCCTCTTGGAATGACAGCAAATAATTCTGAAGGGAAATCAAAAAGTTCAGGTTTCCAAGGACCACCCTTGTTTATTCTCTAGATATGTAGAGAATCCATCAGGTTGGAAATTGGCCAACTGTGAATGGTTCGAATGATTTTTGATACTGATAGTCTATTTGGCCTTGGCCCACGGAGGCTATCACATAATGTATACAGTTGTCAGGACTGCCATGTGGCGTAACACAGAAGGATGTTGCAACCCAGAGCGGTGCAATCCAGCAGCACTGGACATAATGTCTACTGCCTCTCTTGTTAATCTTCTAAGACAAGGCCTTTGCTCAAAAGCTAAGAAAGAAAAAAAGGTCAACAAACATATTTGTGTGTCGTATGTGTGAATTCAGGTATAAGTGGCTTTGCAGATAAAGATCATTTTCATTGAATTACTCTGGGTTCATATATTCTGCCTCCCCTACTCTCTCAAAATGAATCCAATCTTAAAAGATACAACTGTTTTATGCGTCATTTATGTGGAAAATCTGACCTGCAGGCCATTCGTGCCAGTTAATTAATTTTCCTTTGCTCGCCAGACAGCTGTCACAGAGGTGGAAGATGCTCTCATTTCATGCCTGAATTGTGTAGAGAAGGGTTCTTCAAATTAGAATGCAAGAAGCCACTCAGAGCTAGCCCCTAAGGGGGAAACAAGCATAAGACTGGAAAATACTTTCAACTCTCTCTCCCTTCCTTCCCATCCATCCTATATGCCTTCTCTCTTACACAATCCTATCCTTGGAGTATAAATAAATCATTCTCTCTCCATCTATCAAAAAGGCTTCTTTCAATTTATGCATCCTTGTGTTGTCAGTCTCTCAGTCACCTGTCCATCTGTCCATTCAGTAACTTATTCATTCATCAGTTCAGCCATTAAACTCTTATTTTCCTATGACCCACAAAAGATCATTCTGAGCTACTTCTTCTCGTCCACACAGTACCTAACCCATGTATGTTGTTTTTTTTTTTCACATACTACTTTGTCCATCTTCCCTAGGAGCATGTGAGATCCTTGAGGGTAAGAACGATGCTGTGTCCCTTTCCTCCAGGGTCCCTTGTCCTTGTTGTTGATTCTGCCTGGAATGTTCTTTCTCTCACTCTATTTCCTCCCTTCCTTTAGAACTCAGCTTAAATGTCACCCTCTCAGAGGTCACCCTCTCCTTACCCTCCTCCTCAATATCCTGGTTTCTTATCTCTTCATAGCATTTATCGCTATGTAGTTCTTTTGTATATTTCTTTATTGACTCTTTATCTTGCTCCCCAGTTGGCTGCTAGGTCCACAAGGACAAGCACCAAGTTGGTTCGCACTTTTAAATGCCTAGTACTTAGAGTGCATTGAACAAAATTGTTACTCAATAAATATTGTTAGCAATCGAATGGATGAACATTTTTATCTTTGCACCCCCAGCTAATGGTTGAGGATTCTGCATTCTACATGTAATAGGCACTTGGCTAATGTTGGCTGCTCAGAAGTAAATGGATTCTATCAAATGCAGACCATGCAATTGAAAATATCTACAGCTGAATTCATTCCTATTTTCTATTTGCTTCTCTCTCTCTACCTCTATCTCTTTATCATTTCATTGCCTGAGATCCTTTGGAGATATTTGGGGTTTTAAATACTCTCTCTTATGCCATCCTGGGCAAGATGAATAATGTTGCTGCAGCAAAGCGTAAACCATGAAAGTACAACCAACTGAGCTTTTGGCACTTTCATGATAGGTTCACATTTATATTTAAAATGTGGGCAAGAATAGACAAAATGAATAATCTCAGCTGGGGGGTTCCTCACCCACTTACTTTCAACATATGGCCTCAATTGGGATGAGAAGAAAATTTTGACAGAGGAAGTTTTGCAAAATGTGGGTGGGGGATTTGACCTGCACCACAGAACATTCAGCACTCTGCCTTCCCCATTGTCCATTAAAATCATCTGTGGTTCCTTATAGTTACGGACCTGAACTAGGCTTCGAAAATGCTGCTCTTCTTCTGATGTAGTATATTAAACAGAGTGGAACAAAGAAAGCTGAGGAAGATAGACACTTCGGAAGCCATGGGTTGTAATAGGTGCTGCCTTCTGCTCTGTTCCATAACTTCCCATGTTGTTTAGGCTCAGGAGAGAAGAGCCAACAGAGGACCAGACTGTAAAACATTTGGTCTTGTAAAAATAAGATTACATCACAATACACAAAAACTGGGAACAACCTAAATGCCATCAGCTGGCATATGGATAGGCAAAACATGGTCTATCGATACAATGAAACACTATCCAGCAATAAAAAGGAACTACTGACACATAGTACATTATGAACGAAGCTCAAAAACATTATGCCAAGTCAAAGAAGCCACACACAAGAGGCCACATATTACAGGATCCCATTTACATGAAATGTCCATAAAGGCCAAATTTATAGAGACAGAAAGTAAATTAGTGGTTGCCAGAGACCGGGGGTAGAAATGAGGATTAATTGTAAATAAACATGATCTTGTTAGGGGAGTGAAAATGCTCTAAAACTGATTTAAGTTGATGGTTGTACTACTCAGTAAATTTACTAAAACTCATTGAGTTGCACTCGTGAAATAGGAGAATTTTATGATACATAAAAAATACCTCAATAAAGTTGTTCTTCAAATTTAAGATTATATTTTTTCTTATTCAATGGCACTGCCAGCTTAGTTTAAATTAGTGTTCCTTTGATGATAATAAAACACAATGAACTTTTGCCTACAATTCTCCTTTTTATTTACTTATATTTTAAATTAAACTTGTCTCTGTAAAATAAGATTGGATCCATTTTTTTTTTCAGAATACTAATTCTGAAAAATTAATTGCCTAATGTAAATGAATGGGCTAAAAATCACTGTTTCTGAATCAAACGTTTTTAGGGAGATTTTAAATAATAAAGTTCAGAGCTTTTTTCTTTAGAAATGATATTTTCTCCTTTCACTTGGTTCATTTCACTTGATTTCAGAGATTCTAATTTCTTCTGGGCTGATGGGAGTGGTCAGAGGTTTTTGTACATCTTCTCAAAGGGATTTAAATTTGCAATTATCGCTAGCACACCATAGACTCTTGCAAACCCGTGTTTCATACAGTCTTCAGATCCCTGCTGCAATTAGCATATTTTCAAGGTGAAGTGCAGATGTCAAATTAATATGGAAAGCGCCAGGATTGCCAAAGGGCCTGGGTCAATGGTATTGGTGTAATTGGAGGACATGAGCCTTTCCTGTGGAAAGGGTCCAGGGACTGACGTCAGAAACAGCAAAGATCCTTCATGTGTGAGCAGGGGCAGTGGAGAGAAGAGAAAACTGGGAACACAAGACAGGATGTGTTTTAATGGGGAAAGTTAGGATTCAGAGAAAAGAGTAAAGTCACCCAGATAATTATCATTTTCACTATTCTTCTCATTATGATGACTTCTATTTAGTTAGTCATGTGCCAGGCACTGTGCCAGGCATTTTGTATACATTACCCCATTTAAGTCTGACAAAAACTCGCTTGACAAATTATTATTCTTATTCTGCAGAAATGAGAGGCCCTAAAAGGTGAAAGTATTTGCAATAAATGATTCTTGAGCACTTACTATATGGCAAGCATATTTCAAAATGCTATGTTTATTATCAAATTTACCTCTCACAATAACCCATGAGGTCAATGTTATTTTTACTTGCATACTGTGAATGAGAGGATGAGCCAGAGAGAATTTAAGAAGCAAGGCCAAATGCAGTGGCTCACGCCTATAATCCTAGCACTTTGGGAGGCTGAGGCAAGTGGATCACCTGAGGTCAGGACTTGAAGACCAGCCTGGCCAACATGATGAAACCCCTTCTCTACTAAAAATACAAAAAAATTAGCCGGGGGCAGTGGCACATGCCTGTAGTCCCAGCTACTTGGGAGGCTGAGGCAGGAGAATCCCTTGAACCTGGGAGGTGAGACTGCAATGAGCCAAGATCACACCACTGCACTACAAACTGGGCGACAGTGAAACGCCATCTTTAAAACAAAAAAAAAAAGAAGCATGCCCAGGGTCCCACAGCTAGGAAACATCATGCACTCTGACTCTATAAGGCTCAGGCCACTAGACTTCCAGACAACCACACTGCCTTGTGCAAGCTCATCCGGCCAAGAATGAAGCATCAGACTCTTTGAGCGCTTGTGAAAAGACCATGAACTTACAGGCCACAAAGCCCTTGCCTGTGCTGTTCTCCACACTCCAAATCCAGAACTTTCCTTTAAGTCTGTTTCTTAAAGTCTGTTTATTTCTTTTTTTATTTTCTCAAGTTGGGTTCTATGGAGCCATTGGGGAAAAGGAAAGGAGAGAATCTTACAGTCTTCAGTCTTTCAACAGAGCAGTTCTATTTACTATTGCCTAAGTTAGGGGTTTCCATGAGGTTTCATTTGAATGAAAGAAGCACTGAAGTTATAAAGAAACCATAGCTTTATTCATGTTGTAGCATGTGTCAGAATTGTCTTCTGTTTTAAGGCTAAGTAATATTCCCTTGTAAGTATACACCACATTTTGCTTGTCCCTTCATCTGTCGATCAGTACTTGCATTGCTTCCATGTTTTAGCTAATGTGAATACTGCTGTAGTGAACCAAGTCAATCTTCTAAATTGTTTTCAGCTATGATTTTCCACATAATTATTGCAAATTCAATTTATTTAGATTTTAATCTGATCCTACCTACTTCCATAAGCAGATTTGACTGAAGAAATGACCACATCCCAATAACAATAAAACAATTTGATTCTGATTTAAAAAAAAAAAAGAAACCATAGCTTTAAAACCAATATAACAATTACATCTTCTGAGGGCGTTCACCAGAGAAAAATGAGGGGAGATGTGTTCAGGGTATTGGATTTGGCATTGAGCCCTTACTAGCACCCATACCGGTTGTTTGTGATTTGATAAACTTATCTCTTCAAACTTCAGTTTCCTCGCCAGTTAAAGCAGAATGATAGTTGTTCATCTTGCCAATGTTACAAGGATGTTTTAAGGATCAAACGAGATAATCTGTAAGAAAGTGCTTTGTATTCTATAAAACAGTCTTGAAATAATACTAATATATAGCAGTGATTTATTGAACCAGTTCCTGGCATAGTCCTGGGTAAGCCCCTTTACATGGATTATCTTCCATAAACCCCACAACAGCTCTAAGCAATAGGTATTATATTATCCCTGTTTAATAGATAAGAAAGCTGAGGCTTAGGGAGGTTAGCAATTCACCCAGATGTCACAGCCAGGAAACTGATGGCACTTCTAGAATCAGAAACAGGTTTGGACTCATTTTTTAATAGCTCTTTTTTAAAGATGCATTTTAATGTCACCTCTTCTTAGTATTTTAAGTGAAATTGATGATTCCCACTTATGCTCTCGTGATATCTTTGCACCCCTTTTAGAGAACCTAATCACAGTCTTTCTTGCATTCAGAATGATGTGGGTTGTTGCCTGAATCTCACTAAGCTAAGTACCTAGAAGGTAGGGCTGCATTTGTTCCTTCCAAAACCTGCAGCACCTGGAGCCGTGTGAGCACTCAACATGAGGGTGTTCCTTCCTCTGTACCCTACTGGGCAGAATTTAACTACACACTCAAATCCAGAATGGGCTCTTTGTCATCTGAGTTCTGCCTGGCTTCTCTGGTCTTACGCCATTGCACAAAAATTGGCATCTGGTTAAAATGGAAAATAATAATAATAACAATAGTAGCTAATATTTATTGAGTCCTTTCCAGGTCTGAAGCCTGTGCAAGTCCCTGATGTGGATCATCTCATTTAATCTTTATGCCAAGCCTGTTTTCCAACCCCACTCCATTGCACAGACAAGAAAGCTGAAACTTAAGAGGTCAGACGTCTAAGAATGTGGTAGACTCCATTTAGAGCTAAAGTTTACTGGTGCCCCAGATTTAACTCTTAACCTGCAGACCACAGTGCTGCATTTGCTAGAATTCCTCTTACAAAATTCTCCTCATTCCTCTAGACACACTTAATATGCCAGCTCCTCACTGAACCTCCCCTAATTCCCTCAGCCATTCCAATCCATTTTCAGCCTCCTCATCATTCATTCTGTCCCCACACACACTTCTTTCATTGTTAGTAACTGTCTCTTCTGTCCACTTGATTCCAACATCCTATTTCACTACCACATTTCTCACAGCATCTAGCAAAATGCCCAGTGTGGACCAGGCACTTAGCATCAAGTTCTGAATTCTCTCTTTACCATTGGTTCATTCATTTGTAATTCAACAGGCTTGCTATGTAAGAGGGCAGCTATACTATCTTTTCCCCAGCTCCCAAAGCAATGTTTCTTGATTATGTCAAATAGACTTGTCTTAATTATTTGACTCATCTTTGAACTGTCAGTTATTGAAAGATCTATAGAGGGAAAGTCTCCACAGGATTTCTGACATATTGTGACAGAAGGAGGAACAGGGCTCAAGTTCATGCCAGGACCCTAGAATAAGGTGGCTGTGCACAATTTTATCCAATTCTGTTTTCAATAGATCATGAAAGTGGTTGGAATTTTAGAAGACTGAACAATTGTTCATATTTCTCTGCTCAATGTTTACTTGCTCATATCAGAGATGCATTCCAAAAGCAGAATCTGTAAAGAGAAACAGCTGGTGAGCAAGAGGAATGTAGCCATTAGGAATCATTACTGAGCACTTTATATCTGCCAACCCTATATGAGGTGTTCAGTTTGTATTACTACCATATCTATGTCTCACAAAAACCCTAGGAAATAGTCTGTTATTAATACTATTTCTCTAGATCATAAGATTCTATAGCTCATCTCTTTCTTTACAATAGCACTTTTCAATATTTAAAGTGTATGGACACATTATTTGGGAAAAAAGCTTATTGCAATAAATGTATGGGGCTATCTGCATTTTATGTTATATCAACAGGTATTTTCAACATCTTATTAGGCACTGACAATGCTTCTAGGCAGAGGGGATAAAACAATGAACAGAATAGGCAAGATCCCTGCTATTCTGAAGCTTCTATAACAGAAGGAAGATAAAAATGCTTTGGTTGATGACAGGATTGGAGGTCGGAGCCAAAGACAGACCAAATTTTTAACATTGACTAGGAGATGTTTTTCCTAAGAATTAATATTTCCATATAAATTATAATGTCCTCAATATATAATATTGGAGCAGATCAGAAGCTGTAGATCAAAATTTTAACATTGATTAGGAGATGTTTTTCCTAAGAATTAGAATTTTCATATAAATTTTAACTTCCTCAACACATAGACTTATCATATGTAGTCTATGATATATATAATTCTCTTTTTCACTTCAGTCCAGGCAAACTGACATCCAAGGTCTTCCTTTTCCTTTAATTCCCCTTCCCAAGACACATCCCGATGGCTGGGTCCCTCTTTTCCTGCAAGTCTCTGCTCAGACATTACCCTTTCAGCTAAGTGAGCCCTCTGCTGAACCTGTCAATAAAAAAGAGCAAACCTCACTTGCCTGCACTTTTTAACCTCACCCTGTTTTATGTATCTTCATAGAATGTTTTGCCAACTGTAATGCTTTAGCTTTGCTTGTTTAACCATCTATTGTCAGTCTCATTTCATCAGAATATAAACTTCATGAAGGTGTTGGCTTTGTCATTAAGCTCATTACTGTATGTGGAGCAATTTGCACAGTCCCTGTTCATGTAAGTGCTCAGCAAGTTGCTGAATTGTTCAATGAACACTAAAAATCACAGTAACATCTACATATATTTTAGGAAGAAGAAACACAGACTTGTAGAATATTTAGTCTACAGATACCATTCGATGCCATTATGAATTTTGGGGCCTCTTGCATTAGCTGCAGAGCAGCATCTAGCAAATAAAGAAAGATGCGTCAGAGAAAGTCTTGCACTAAGATTGAAGAGAGCTCACTTCTAGTCTTGGCTCTGGACATGAAGAACACACTTAACCTTGGTTTCACCATGAGGAAAATCTGAGAACTGAGCTATCCGGGGTCCTTTCTGGCTCAGATTCTGTGATTCCGTGGGCTATGCCCTGCTTTTGGTATCCTCAAAGAAGCACATGTGGCTTGTTGACATAAGAAGGGACTTGCAAGTTTAAAAGCTTCCTATATAAGCATTCAGAAACACACACATATTCCCAAAAGGTGGTAGTTGAAAAACCACTGCTTTCAGTAATTATGGTTTTTCAAATTTTTCATTATTATGATGCAGAATAATAACTGTCATCAATTACTAAGTGCCCACACTTTAGGAACTTAGTTAAAAGGAAAAAATCTAATTATAGGGTGCAAACACTTGCATAAATTGATGGATTTGGGGCTTATATTAAGGTAGCAACACAGTGCAAAGCCAGGAAGGTTCTATTTCTTTTTACTTATTTTTTATTTTTATTTTTTAAGAAGAAGAGTCTTGCTTTGTTGCCCAGGCTGGAATGCAGTGGCGTGCTCCCAGCTCACTGCAGCCTCGGGCTTCTGGGTTCAGGCAATCCTCCCACCTCAGCCTCCTGAGTAACTAGGACTACAGGCATGCTCCACCATGCCTGGCTAATTTTTGTATTTTTTGTAGAGATAGGGTCTTGCTATGTTGCCCAGGCTGGTCTTGAACTCCTGGGCTTAAGAAATCCTCCCACCTTGGCCTCCCAAAGTGTTAGGATTACAAGCATGAGCCACCGTGCATGGCCCTGACTTTATCTTTATTTACTTTAAATCTAGTTGATTATTTTAAAAGAACTAATGAAGAAGCATGATCTCTTCTTCTGCACTCAGCCACCTGGCTTCCCATCTCAGTCACTGGCAAACTTTTATTTAAAGACAACGTAGTATCTCGATGGATCATGCAAATTTTGGAGGATGGCTGAACTATCCGAATTCTGGTTCTGCCATTCACTGTAACCTAAAATAAACTCCCCACCTCTTCTTAACTTTAAGCATTTGGGGTTTTTTTTAAAGGGAATAATAAAAGCCAATCTAGAGGGAAATTTTTGTAAGACAATAAGCTAAAATTTGTAAAGCACTTGACATAGATTTGTCACTGAACAAATGCTAGCTTCCTTCTCTCTTTTTCCATCTTTATAGCCTCGGAGAAATTGAGCTTTTGGAGAGATACATGGCTAACATTCCATGGGCAAAGCTGCCGACCCTTGCAAAGGGAAAATGGTTTCAGAATCCCACTTTACTTCTTACTTCACCCCCCTAGCAAAACTAAAATGACCTATTTTTCCAGACTAATACTTCTCTACAAAAGTTTGCTTCATTAGGCCAGGTGCGGTGGCTCACACCTGTAATCCTAGCACTCTGGGAGGCCGGGGGCCAGGGGGGCGGTGGATCACCTGTGGTCAGCAGTTCGAGACCAGCCTGGCCAACATGGCGAAACCCCATCTCCACTAAAAATTCAGAAATTAGCTGGACGTGGTGGCGTGCGCCTATAATCCCAGCTACATGGGAGACTGGGGCAAAAGAATTGCTTGAACCTGGGAGGTGGAGGTTGCAGTGAGCTGAGATCACACCACTGCGCTCAGCCTAGGCAAAAGAAACCCTGCCAAAAAAAAAAAAAAAGCTTAACTGTAAATGCAGTAAAGAAGAACATTTTCTTGTATGCATGCATATATCCATCTATCTCTGTTCTCTTCAGAATAAAAGCAACAAGCTAATGCCCAATGGACTCAAAAATGGCCCATGTATGTTTGTATATTTGTTTTGTTTGTTTTAGCTCTGTAGTCCTTTAATTTTTATTTTTTTACATTTACATTCCTATACTTTAAAATACTATTATACATGAAATTCTGAATCTGGTTTGTTTTGAAATATCAAAAGATTTGGCAAGCCCAGAAGTAAAACCCTTACATATATATTCATATGATTTTCAACAAGGTTGCTAAAACCATTCAATGAGGAAATGACAGTTTGTTCAACAAATGGTGTTGGGAAAACCAGATGTCCACATGCAAAAGAATGAAGTTGAACTCTTCTTACTTTACACCATAAACAAACAAACAAAAAAAACTCAAAATACTCAAAATGAATCAAAGACAAACATAAGAGCTAAACTTTGAAACTCTTACAAAATATAGGGGAAAGCTTCTTGACATTGGAGTTGGCAATGATTTCTTGTATATGACCCTAAAAGCACAGGCAACAAAATAAAAATAGATAAATTGGAATACTCAAAATTTAAAACTTTTGTGCGTCAAAAGACACAATTAGAGTGAGAAGGAAACTATGGAGGAGAAAATACTGGCAAATTATGTAGTCTGTTAAGGGGTTAATATCCAGAATGTATCAAGAACTCCTACAACTTAACAATAAAACAACAAACAACCCAAATAAACATTAAGCAAAGGACTGAAATAAAACATTTTTCCAAAGAAGATCTATGAATGGCCAAAAAGCATATAAAAAGATGCTCAACATCACTAATCATTAGGAAGATGTAAATCAAAATCACAATTAAATACCAACCATCTCACATCCACTAGGATGTTAAGGATGTAGAGAAATTGGAACCCGTGTACACTGTTGGCAGGAATGTAACATGATGCAGCTGCTGTGGAAAACAGTAAGGCAATGTTTCAAAAAAATTAAAAATAGAATTACCATATGATTCAACAATCTCACTTCTGGGTATATACTAAAAAGAGTTGAAAGCAGGGTCTCAAAGAGACATTGTACAATGAGGTTCATGGCAGCAATAGGTTCTCAATTAGAAGAGGGGTCTTCCTTCTATATCTAATTGACCATGGTTTGTTTGTTGCAGGCTCGTTGTTTAACTGGATTCTGGCAGGCATTTTTTTTTTCTACTTTAAGTTCTAGGGTACATGTGCACAATGTGCAGGTTTGATACATAGGTATACATGTGCCATATTGGTTTGCTGCACCCATCAACTCATCATTTACATTAGTTATTTCTCCTAATGCTATCCCTCCTCCAGCCCTACACCCCCTGACAGGCCCTGGTGTGTGATGTTCCCCGCCCTGTGACCAAGTGATTTCATTGTTCAGTTCCCACCTATGAGTGAGAACATGCAGTGTTTGCTTCTCTGTCCTTGTGATTGTTTGCTTAGAATGATGGTTTCCAGCTTCATCCATGTCCCTGCAAAGGACATGAACTCAGCCTTTTTTATGACTGCATAGTATTCCATGGTGTATATGTGCCACATTTTCTTAATCCCGTCTATCACTGATGGGCATTTGGGTTGGTTCCAAGTCTTTGCTTTTGTGAACAGTGTCTGGCAGGCATTTTTAATGAAACTATGTTCAAGCAGCAATTCTCTGAAATTATAGGTCACTCTCATTCATTGTGTATTTTTGAAGAAGTTCATCAATCGTTGGAGGAAACAACAGACAGCTTAGCTTGAGCAAATCATTTGACTTTTGGACACAGAAATGGACATTTAGGGCCAGGCGCAGTGGCTCACACCTGTATTCCCATCACTTTGGGAGGCCAAGGTGGGTGGATCACCTGAGGTCAGGAGTTCAAGACCAGCTTGACCAACATGGTGAAACCCCATCTCTACTAAAAATAAAAAATTAGCCCGGCATGGTGGTGCGTCCTGTAATCCCAGCTACCCTGGAGGCTGAGGCAGGAAAATCGCTTGAACCCAGGAGGCAAAGGTTGCAGTGAGCCAAGATTGTGCCATTGCACTCCAGCCTGGGCAACAAGAGCAAAACTCCGTCTCAAAAAAAAAAGAAAAGAAAAAAGAAAGAAATGGACATCTGGGAGGCAGCCCAGCATATTCACAGGTGAGAGACACTGAGCAGTAGCTGTCATATTCTTTGATGTTTGTAAAAACTTCTAGAGAATCACACGCTATTATGTCCTTTTTGCATGCTTTGTGTACATCTCCAAAATAAACATTCTCTTTCACAAGGGGGCATTTGATTTCCAAAGTAATTTATGTGCATAAACTATGTTTGAAGACAACAAAAACAGATATAAAAATTTCCCTTTCACTAATTTAATTTTGCAATAAATAATTATGTAGTGGGCAGAAAACTGGGCAAGTTATTTCCTTTGGTACTAACAACACAGCAGGAATATATAAATAGGTAATGGGTAGTTGAATTCCCCACATGCACAAAAGGTACCCAGGAAACCATCTACATTTGGCAAGGCCTTATTTTTCCCAGTTTCTGTTCCTTATCAGAGTGTCACCACGCTAACCTGTCCTCACTATAAAGGCCACCTCTCTTTTTCTTCCCTCCAGCTCAGGAGTTCTATTAGCTTGCGCACAAGCTAATAATTCAGAATACTTCTCAATAAAACTATTCCATGGAAGGCTTTTTTTAACGATAAATGCTGAAACTTTCAATCTCATGATTAATTAAAAGTTGGTTATAGTCCATGCCTTCTTAAAAAAAATAAAAATAAAAATGCACTTGATAAATTTAATGAAAGCTTACACTTTGGGTCGAAAAAATAGAGTCATGACACGCATGGAGTAGAAATAAAGCCCTTTCTCTCTCTACCCCACATTTCTTAACATTGTCTGGGAAACTCTCAGAATCTTTTTAGAAAAACTGCTCTTAAAATGAATCTTCAACCAGAGGAAAAATGTCCACTCCTATGCAGAAGAGAGGAGGCATTTTTAAACTTTAAAGAGAAATGGACTTTATAAAAAAAAAAAAAGTACTAAACTATTACAGTAACCAGCACCTCCCTTTCTCCAAAAGGGTCCTGTAAACAAAAGTAAATGTTTTTTATCCTGATACACATACCTGACTAACATGCAGATGGGCCAACAGTTTTAAATAAACATTATACTTTTTCCAAGAGAATGCATTTTTTATTATATTATTAAAATGTATTAGAATTTAACTCTTTGCCTTTCCCTGTGTTCATATATGAATGAGGTCAGCACAAATTAGGAGCATATTTATAGTGTATGGTATAAATATATGTAACAAAGACTGGTAGAAGAGTCAAACTTTGAAGAAAAGCAGCAGAATACAAAGGAGATGAACAGACACTTCTCAAAAGAAAACACAGAAGTCCCCAACAAACATGCAAAAATGCTCAACATCACTAATCATCAGAGAAATGCGAATCCAAACCACAATGAAATACCATCTCGCACCAGTTGGAATGGCTATTATTAAAAAGGCAGAAAACAACAGATGCTGGTGAGGCTGTGGGGAAAAGAAAAGGGAACGCCTATACACTGTTGGTGAGAATGTAAATTAGTTCAGCCCCTGCAGAAAGCAGTTTGAAAATTTCTCAGAGAACTTTATAACAGAGTTACCATTCGACCCAGCAACCCCACTATTGGGTATCTATCCAGAAGAAAACAAATTTTTCTACCAAGAAGACACATGAATTTGCAGGTTCATTGCAGCACTATTCACAATAGCAAAGACATGGAATCAACAGGGGACTGGATACAGAAAACGTGGTACATACATGCCATGGAATACTACACAGCTATAAAAAAAATGAAATCATGTCCTTTGCAGCAACATGGACGGAACTGGAGGCCATTATCCTAAGTGAATTAACACAGGAACAGAAAACCAAATACTGCATGTTCTCACTTATAAGTGGGAGCTAAATATTGGGTACACATGGACACAAAGATGACAATAGACACTGTTGTCTACTAGAGGGGGAAAGGAGAGGCGGACAGGGATTGAAAATCTATTGGGTACTATGCTCAGTACCTAGGTGATGACACTTAGTACCCCAAGTCTCAGCATCACACAATATTCACACGTAACAAACCTACACATGTACCCCCTGAATCTAAAATAAAAGTTGAAATTATTTTTTTTAAAGCAGCAGAGTTATCGTTTTGAACTTTTTGAGGAAGCCAAAATTTATGTAACAGAGGTACAGTATCCTTCTGGCAATTTTATGAGAAGTGTTTTATAATGAATCACTTTCTCAGCAATAGAAAATGTTAACTGTAAAAGATTTTAAGTAGAAAAATGATGTTCAGAATTAATTTAAAGAATTACTGGCCAGATGAGGTAGCTCATGCCTATAATCACAGCACTTTGGGAGGCCGAGGCGGGCAGATCACTTGAACCCAGGAGTTCGAGACAAACCTGGGCAACATAATGAGACCTTGTCTCTGCAAAAAAAAATACAAAAAATTAGCTGGGCAAGGTGGTGCGTGTGTGTGGTCCCAACTACTTGGGAGGCTAAGGTAGGAAATCATCTGAGTCTGGGAGGCTGAGGCTGCAGTGAGCTGAGATCACACCACTGCACTCCAGCCTGGGCAACAGGGTGAGACCCTGTCTCAAAAAAAGAAGAAAGAAAAGAAATAATTACTTTTCTGGAATATTTCTTCCAGTTGGTTTTTACAAGATTTTCTACCAATAACTTGCACTCTTCCTGAAGAAAAGAAAGTGATAGTGGTGGTGGTATTAGCAGAGGTGGTGAGGGCATGGTGGCAGTTGTGGGTGGTGGGAGTGACAGGTGTGAGTGATTCTGGTAGGTGATGGTAGTTGTGCTTGGTGTGGTTGTAGTTGTAGGTTGTACGGTGGTAGTTGAGGGAGGTGGCAGTGGGGATAGTTATGGGTAACAGTGGTAAGGAAGGTGGTAGCTGCAGGTAGAGGTGATGGCAGTAGAGGTGGTGGTTATGGGAGAGATAATGGTGACATTTGTGGGTGGCAGTAGCTATGGGTAGCAGTGGTGATGACAGTTTGAGGTAATCGTGGATACGGTGGTGATGGAGGATTGTGATAGTTATGAGAGGTGATGATGATGGAGATAGCAATTCGGGAAGATAGTGGTGACAGTTGTGAGTGGTAGTTACTGTAGGTGGTAATGGTGATGATGTGGGGGCTAGCTGTGAGTGGGAGTGGTGGTGGTCATGATAGCTGTGTGGGGTGTGGTTGTAGTTGAGGGTTGTGTGGGAGATGATGATGGTAGTTGTCAGCGGTGGTGGTGGTGGTGGTGGTGGCAGCTGTGTGGGGTGTGGTTGTAATTGAACATTGTGCAGAAGATGACAGTAGTTGTAAGTGGGAGTGGTGGTGGTGGTGGTGGTGGTGGTGGTGGTAGCTGTGTGGGGTATGGTTGTAGTTGAGAGTTGTGTGGGAAATGGTGATGGGAGTGATGAGTGGTAGTGGTGGTGGTGGTGGTGGTGGTGGTGGTAGCTGTGTGGGTTGTGGTTGTTACTGAGGGTTGTGTGGGAGATGGGGGAGGTAGTGGTGGTGGTAGGAAATGGTGATGGCAGTGGTGAGTGGTAGTGGTGGTGGTGGTGGTGGTAGTTCTGTGGGGTGTGGTTGTAATTGAGGGTTGTGTGGGAAATGGTGATGGCAGTGGTGAGTGGTAGTAGTGGGGGTGATGGTGGTGGTAGCTGTGTGGGGTGTGGCTGTCATTGAACATTGTGCAGGAGATGATGGTAGTTGTGAGTGGGAGTGGTAGTGGTGGTAGTTGTGTGGGGTGTTGTAGTTGAAGGTTGTGTGGGAGACGGTGATGGTAGTGATGAGTGGTAGTAGTAATGGGGGATCATAGTTGTATATATTTGGTTGAGGTGTGGGAAAAATATGAACAGAGGTAATTATTCTTAATGGGAAATTTTAGGGATCATATTGTATGATTGACTACGTTGCTTAAATATGACAAAATGTAGTTTAAAAATAGCTTATTATAAAACATCCACTGGAGCCAAAAATTATCTCGGTTTCCTTTTCTGCGGGTCTTTTCTGTCTGTCACTGAGGAAAATACACCAGCAAGACACAAGAAACTGTAATACTACTCTGATTAACAGTAATATTAACTACCATATTATTAACGCAGTGTCTGCCATGTAACAGATGTTATGTATGTGTGTGTGTGTGTGTGTGTGTGTGTGTGTGTGTACATATATAGATTTAATTTAATCTTCCTAAAGGTACACATTATTCCCATTTTACAGGTAGTAAGGCTTAAACTCAGCGAGCATTTTACCAAAGGTCATACAATCAGGTAGCAAAGTTGGATTTAAAATTAATTCCAGAGTTGGGTGCCGTGGCGCACAACTCAAGTCTCAGCTACTCAAGAGTCTGAGGCAGGAGGATCACTTAAGGTCAGGAGTTTGAGCCAGCCTGAGCAATACAGTTAGACCTTGTCTCAAAAAAATTTTTTTAATAAAATAAATAAGCAAATTCCTATATTCAATTTTCACAATCTCTCTAACATAGTCAAATCCACAACCTCATACTAAAGAATGTTTTTGGAAAGCACCTGATGTCCCTCTCTGGGCTGACAGTCTACTGACTGTCTAAATGAGACTCAGGAAATCTGAAAGCTTGGTTTTCATTAGCTCCAAACTATCAGTTCATAAAAAGGCTCAGAGGACACGGAAGACAAAAGTGGCTATCCTTTGCTAGGAATTATCAGAATAATGTACCTAAATTAATCTCTCCATGATTTTTTGTTTTCTCTTCAGCATATGCCCAAGGTATGTATGATGTGAGCAGCCTGAAGCTATTCTGAATGACAAGGACTAGTTTTAGGTAACCTCCGATTGAATTGTTTTTATTTTTCCTATGGAGATCCAGAAACGTTTGTTTTCAAATGGAGCAAACAGCACTTGTGATACTGACTTCGTTTTTATTAAAAAATAATTGTTTCCAAATTAATTTCAACTCATAATGAGTTAAAGCAATTAGAAATAAAGAAAGTACCTCCAAAAATTCTAACCGAAATGTTTATTTCACAAGAGTTCCCTAACCCATTCTACCCTTCCAGCACCTGTTGTCAGTACCAGATCAGACTTGCATTTGGATGTTTTACTTGGAAAACTAATCAATCCTGACCACCACCCTAGTCTTAGAGAAGTAAGAGAGAAGGGGAATGAACACTCAGCCCCAAATCATTCATCCTTTGATTCTAGAAAATCCCACGGTTTTTAAAGCATCAAAATCAGAATGACTTCCATTCACTACTCTTGAAGTGACTGGTCTCTGAGAGATAAAAATTGAGAGTCATTTGATTGTTTAATTTGCTCATTAACTCAAAAAGATGTATAAAGCAGTGTCTGATTTGTGTTGGCACTATTAATTACACTGCAGCAGTAAGAGACCAGAGAAAAGAAAAAGAAAGAAAGGAATTCAGGCCCTGCTCTCACAAAGTTTATATTCTATATTGATGCTGATATTGAAGTAACTTCAGCCAAACAGAAAGAAAACTCAATGCCAAATTTTTCAAAAGTTTCCCTTTAGATTTTTGTAGTCTCTTCAACTTAACTGTGAATATCTACTTTTCTGGGGGGGAAAAAAGCTATTCTCTCAAGATTATAGAAAGAGACATAATTCGTGTTTATGAATAACTATGAATGCAAACACATATAGATA
The DNA here is from genome assembly GCF_000001405.40 of Homo sapiens. NCBI lineage: Eukaryota > Metazoa > Chordata > Mammalia > Primates > Hominidae > Homo > Homo sapiens. The sequence goes on along the minus strand of NC_000016.10, from coordinate 58,890,434 downwards.
TAAATATGAATGTTGGTATAATTATAAATACACACACATGTGTGGTAGTAGTTTAGTGGGACAGTTTAAAGTTGGGATTTGAAGTTCAAATCTGTCCCTTAACTAGTCATATTACCTTAGGTAAGTTTTCTGATCACTTTAAATCTCAGCATCCTCACCTGTAAAGTTGGAATTATAATAATACATACTGAATAGGACTAATGCAATGAGTAAATGCGAGAATTTGCACTAAACACTTATTCCGGTGGCTGGAACCAAGTTTATATCTAATAGTCATTATCACTGTGATATCTCTATTAATTATGTGTATATTAGATAGAAATTAAGAATTCCATCAGCAAAATCTCAATCATGGTTTTTAATTGTCCAAAAGCATCATTCTCAGTCACTGGGGCATTACTTTCTTAGGTTCTTGCAGAAACTTTGTTTCTAAAATTTGATATCAAATACTGGCAGAAATCCAACTGAAAATCTCACCGCAGGGCTCCCAAAACACATCTTCGCATGATTCTGCTTCACTTGTTTCCCCAAAGTAGGTCACTGGCATATGACACCTTTTACTCTTCTGTAAAGAAAAGCAGCAAAAGTCCCATTGCTTTTCATAAATATCGTTCTTTTCTTCCCTTCTATTTAGCATTTTTTCTTCCCTTTCTTAGCTCTAAGCTTTAACAGAAGCTACTTAGAAAGAATTTCATTTTCCAAAATGTAATAAAGCAAATGAAAATGTCTTTACCAGATGGCCCTGAATGTAATTTTAACTTTTTGTTATGATACTGGACCATTTTATGCAAACCAATTTTTGCTTTGATAATATGGAGTTATTTTCTTGGGAACTTAGTGCTATTTTCCCTAAACCATATAGCTCCAAATGTCTTGAATATAGTATTTCTATTGTTTATGATGCTTCAAAATGTGTCACCTCTCAGTTCTCTGGTTACTAGATCTAGTCTCCCTCCCTCCTTTACCTTTCACCAGTGCACACGGTGAAATATTACATTCCACTTTCAGCTAGAAAAAGTTTCTAAGAAAAAACAGATAAATATGCTGGCTAAGTATGAAAGTTTGAGTAAAAACAAAAATTCTAATGGCTGCATTTCTCTTCCAGTTTAAAATGCATGGACTTTGTGACAGATATATTTCCCCTAATGGAATGGCACTCTTTTACTCTTTCTAATTCTTGAAACTCTTCAGTAAGTTCTTACTGAGAAAATATGTTGTTACTTGATTACATAATAAAAAGGCTGAGTTTCAGCAATGTTGACTGGATCAAGCATAAAAATACAGGACTCCATTTCTATTTTGTACATGTGAAAACTCACTTGAATTGAGTCTTCTAACGATGGGGTAATGTTGAAATTGTGGACTGGACACATGAGCATCAGAAACTAACAGGTTGGGTTGCTGTGAACAATTAAGATTCCCATTTCCCAGACATACACATTCTAATCCTTGAGGTCCGGGGTTGAACTTGGTATCCTAAAATTTGAGAACATTTCTCTAGGGGTCAAAGGATTTGGTGAAAAGCTCACTTTTAATAAGCTGCATGCCATATGTTCAAACTCAACCTTACCTAATCTTTCTAAATTTACCTGTAAATACAATTTCTAAATATACTTCCCTGTTATCTAAAACAAGTTGGAAAGAATTGGGTTAGGTTTTTAAAAGAAAGCCAATTATTACTCTGCAAAATAAAGGTAGTATCCATTTAATTGTAGCAGCGTTTTATATGCTGATGAAATCTAAGGAAGTAGGCATGTACTCAGTCCTTTGAAGGCGGTTTCATGAGAAATAGGGATTTACAAGATCCTTGATTTTTCACTTTCAAGATAAAATATAGATGAAATCCCCTAGGACACTATCCTATTAATGTAATTACACAGATACAGGCATGGGAGGAAGTGCCAGGTTGATGAGAAATGACAGCGAGAGAGTTGGCAAGCACAAGTAGAGATTTCCAAACTGACAAAATCAGGACTAAACAGCACACATTTAGGTTAGAATAAATCTTGCTGAAGAATATAGCCCTCTTTAAAGAGAATCCTACAATGTTAATGGAAGTGGATTTGCTGGTATAAAATCGCATCTGGTTAGCAATCCCTACATCAACATCTCCAAACGTGCCCTTGAAATACCTACAAAGACTCAGGAAGATATGGAACTCAAAGGAAGCCTGGAAACTGAAACAGACAGCCAAGCCATTGCCGGAATCTGTTAGGAAATTCCAACAATTACAAGCCAAGAGCTGAAATGAGACTAGTCACAAATAATCTCACGGCACACACACCACCCAGAAGATACTTGGGAGGAAGTTTGGTTCTCCATTTATTATCTACTTCTGATTCAATGACTCAGGAACCATGCTTAGTTATAAAATAAGGCAAGCGCCCCAATCCTAGGAAACTCTCTTCTGTTTCTGCCTCAGCCTCTCCCAAATGTCTCCCATTGGAAATATAATGGAGGATCATAAAGCTAAGAAAAGCAACAGGGCTAAAAGGAGGAAGGACTGGTGGTGATACAAAAATCTAGGTTGATGTGGAAGACATGAATAGAAATGTTAATAAATAAAGGCTAAATCAGAATCCTAAAGATACTGTATAGAGGAGGCTATAGTCTCTCTGAGTTTTTCATGCATTCCAACATTAAGATATGGGGCCATGTGAGTAGAAGTTTGCCTGAATTCAACAAAGCTATGGTAGATGAATGGCTATGGGGCAACAGAAATCAGTCAAGAGCCACGCACATTTGCCTTCCGTCCTGCCCTCAATCTGTGATGAAGGCAAATGGGAAAACCAGGCGGATGCTTTTTCAGTTGGTGTTAGTGGTTGATAAGCTGAGTACATTATCCCACAATGTAGAGTGTCCTGACTCATGTTTAAGAGCAACATTTTCAAATCAACTTTATTGAGGTCTAATCTGCACTAAGTAAAATATATCCACAGTTCAATGTGTTTTGACATAAACTCCCATGTACCTACCACTCCAAGTTATATATAAAGCATGTCCATCACCCCAAAAGGTTCCCACATGCCCCAGTGTAGTCAATTCTCTCCCCATCCCAAAGAAACACTGATTCTAATTTCTACTGCCACAGATTAGTTTTGCCTTTGTTGAATCCTAAAATGTGTATTTTTTTCCCTTCTTTCACTTGCCATGTTTTTAACATTCACAATGTTGTTAAAAGAATCAGTAGTTTATTTCTCTAGATTGTTGAGTATGCCATTTAATGAGGATGTTATTATTCATCTATTGGCTTGTTGATGGATATTTAGGGTCTTTACAAATTTTGGCCGTGGTTAATAAAACTGCTATGAGCATGTATGTGCAATATCTTGTGAGCATGTTTTCATTTTTCTTGGGCAAATACAAAGGAGCAGAATTGGTGGGTCATATGGTAGGTATGCATTTAACTGAATAAGAAACTGCCAAGCTCTTGTCCAAAGTGACTGTGCCATTTTACATTCACACCAGCAGTATTTGAGAGTTTCAGCTGCCCTACACCTTTGCCATTACTACTATTGTCAGTCATTTTCATTTTAGGCATTAAGAGCAGTATTTTGATGCACTAAAATACACACACACACACACACACACACACACACACATACATATATATGTATTTGCTTATTTGTTTGTTTTGCTTGGTTTGGTTTTTGGTTTTTATTTCTTGTTGTTGTTGTTGCTGCTGCTGTTTAGATACAGGGTCTCACTCTGTCACCCAGGCTAGCATGCAATAGTGTAATGATAGCTCACTATAACCTCAAACTCCTGGGCTCAAGCCTCCTCTCGCTTCAGCCTCCTGAGTAAATAGAACTACAGGCACATGCCATCTGCCCAGCTACTCACTATGTTGCCCAGGCTGGTCTCAAACCCCTGGCCTTAAGCAATCCTCCCACCTTGACTTCCCAAACTGCTTGTATTACATGCATGAACCACCATGCCCTGGGCCCCTTGGTTTGATTTTTATCTGCCCTGCAAAAATTACTTTGAAGAACTGCTACTTCTCAAATTCATGAGTTTGGAACATATCACATGTACATCATTACATGCTCTTCACCTCACCTGTCTTCTAGGCCCTTGGCTATTTTGTTCCACTTCAATTGTTGCTGGGACCTTAACTCCATGCATGACCACCAAATCCCACTGCCTCATGCTCTGTCTCCTCATCTTTCTGGATTCACAGAAAAGGCACAAGTCCCAGGGCATGGGACGTGATTGCTGAAGGGACTGAGTGATCCAATCTAGAAGGGTAGAGTAGCTACCCTCCCTCTGGGATAAACTTTGATCAACAGGAAATAGGAAACGGGATGGAATGAAGCTGGCAAGTAAGTTTCCTCCCAGTTTCTTACTGCACTGGACTGAAGCCCAGTTGCCTTCTGCAGTGTGTCCAGCTATCCCCTCTGCATGGCTTAGCTGGTATATATACTAAGAAACCAGCAGAGCCTCTCCACGACTCATCATGAAACCACGGCCACATGGTAATGCATCACCTACATTCGTTCCCCGTCCTTTCCTGCCTCATTTTCTTTTTCTCTCACTCTCTGCTCTGGGATTTGAACTTCCAATAAATCATTATTACTTAAATCTGGCTTTGGATTCTGTTTATTGGGAACTCAGATTCTCCCTGAGGTTCTTCTCCTGAGCTATCTTGATCCTCCTCATCCTTCTTGGTGCCCTTTTGTTCAACCTTTCTTAGATTTTATGAGTCACCCACTGTCTCTCTAATAAATTCCATTTTGGTCAGAGTCAGTTTCTGTTACTTAAAGCCAAGGAACCATAACTGGTTTTTCAGACAAGAGTATAGTTTGGTTGAATATTGAAATATATCTCTATAATAATTTATCCTACAAAAAGGGAGATTGAGGATCACAGAGGTTAATGAAGTTAATAATATGCTACAGCAGAAATGCACAGAATAACACCTGGCAAATAGTAGGTGCTAAGTAAATATTTACTGGACCTAAATCAGGGAAATCTAGTTAGTACTACATGTTTCACTAGACTTGAATTCAAAGCCCTATGAGCTTCTCTTATACTAGACTTTATCTCAATTCAAGTTAAAGACCTCAACAGGAATGATTCTGTCTTACATGTGCTATAAAGGATTATCTATGATTATCTGTCAGCTGATGTAATTCTTTATCTAAATAGTTATGTCTGGTCTAGTTTGCATTGTCTTCTAAAATAGAATTTTTAATTTTATCCAATTTAAAGAGAGATACATCTGAAAAATCTTAAAGGAAAAGAACAAAGCTGGAGGATTTATACTACCGTCTATGGAGGCCAAGTGTAAAGCTTAATTAAGACAGAGTGGTATTAGCACAAGGGTAGACAAAATAACCAATGGGAGAGCATAGAGAGTTCAAAAATAGACCTCTATGGTCACATGGGATAGACTAGGGATTTTTTGTTGTTGTTCTGGATCAATCAGATATCCATATGGAAAAAATATATCTTGTCATCTACTTCAAAATAGTTACAAAAATAAAATCCAGATGGATTGCAGGACTAAACATAAAAAGTTAAAATCATAGAGGAAAATATAGAACATCTTAATGGTCTTGATGTAGACAAAGATTTTCTTAACAAGACATATAATGTACTAACCATAAATTTAAAGAATGATAAATTGGACTATACTAAAATTAACAATATCTGTCTATAAAAAGATATTACTAGCAAAGTCAAAATGTAACCCACAGAATGAGAGAAAACATGAGATATCTCTCTCTCTCTCTCTCTACATATATATATATATATAAACACACACACATATCAAGTATAGAAATATATGGATAAAAGGATATACATATTCTGTTGATTCTGTGTCTCTGGAGAACCCTGACTAATTAAACAACATGCAAACTTATCTTTATTTATGTTATTGTACTTCAACAGAAAGTCTTCAAAAGCAACACATCTGTAATGACATTTAATAGAAGACAGTATCTTTGCAGCCTATTTCCTGAAGTAAGGCATGATTTGCATCCAATTATAAGAATTAACAATGACTATAATTGGCTAAAGCTGTGTCACAAAAAGAGGTTACATTTTTATTGTAGAAATTTAGCTTGTCTCTTGCATGATACATTTCACAATCCTAATGCATATTTCAGGTTACTTACTTAACTAAGCAATATGTTCTGTCAAAGAACTTATTTCAAGTCAAAGCAAAAAAAAAAAAGGTCTCAATGCAGAACAACAAAAAAAGTACTATTCAAATTTAAAGAAACAATATTATTCTCTCCCTCATCCCTTCTCCCACTTGGTAGACCCCAGTTGGGTTGAATTTATTTTGTGGTTACCTCATGTACACCATGGAATACTATGTATGCAGCCATAAAAAAGAACAAGAACATGTCCTTTACAGGGACAGAGATGGACCTGGAGGCCATCATCCTTAGCAAACTAACGCAGGAACAGAAAACCAAATATCGCATATTCTCACTTATAAGTAGGAGCTAAATGATCAGAACACATGGACACATAGAGGGGAACAACACACTGGCCTCTATTGGAGGGTGGAGGGTGAGAGGAGGGAGAGGATCAGGAAAAGTAACTAATGGGTACTAGGCTTAATACCTGGGTAATGAAATAATCCGTATTTAAAAAAAAAAACCCATGACACAAGTTTACCTATGTAACAAACCTGCACATCCTGCACATGTACCCCTGAACTTAAAACAAAAATTAAAAGAAGAAATTCAGCAATTATAGATTTTTTATTGCATTAAACATAGATTATTCCATGAGTATCACTGTGTTATTAATTATCTCTAGGAAATAGTAGAAGACATTTTTAGTTATTGCATTCTAGTATTTTATGATGAGCCATTTGGAGATAATTGTATTTTTCCACAGAATTTTTAAATGTTTAAAAAATTTCCCAGCTAAATGTGGTGGCTCAAGCCTATAATCCCAACTCTTTGGGAGGCCAAGGCGGGAAGATAGCTTGAGCCCAGGAATTCAAGACCAGTCTGGGCAACACAGCAAGACTCCATCTCTACAAAACAATTTTTAAAATTAGCCAGGCATGGTGCCACCTGTCTGTTTTCCCAGTTACTCAGGAGACTGAGGTGGGAAGATTACTTGAGCCCAGGAAGTTGAGGCTGCGGTTAGCCATGATCACACCACCGCACTCCAGCCTGGGTGACATAATGAGACTCTGTCAAAAAAAAAAAAAAATCTTTCACCATGTATCTCCTTAGCATGACATTTGGCATAAGATATGCACTCATCTTATTTGGTGAATTTAATAATTGTATAATTCAAGTGACTTGTTTAAAGACATGGTAAATATACTTTAAAACAGCTGTTTTCAATGTGGGGGTCCACAGACTTCCAATGGTTCCAGACTTGGATGGGAAAAATGACATCTCAATTTTCATTAACTGCTAAGTGAATTTTAACATTTCCTTCAATTGGCACTATGTCATTAGTGAAAATCACAGATATTGCTATTTAACAATACAATTGTTATCTCAACATACTTTCTGTTTATCACATCATTACATTGAAATTATGATAGTTAACAGACCCACACAAGAACATGCTATTTAGTGCATTAACAAAGCTCATTTTGCTGCATCACAATTTTTAGATTTATCGAAGCAGTATTTCAACATAAATGTGCCCTCTATAATTTTAAGTATTAGATTTTTGATATTTTTAAAGATTATTTTGAGAAAGAATCCATAGTCTTCTTCAGGCTGCCAAAGAGGTCCATGGCATGTGGACAGGCGCACACACAAAATGTTACATTTTCATGCCAAGGCTGAGTTCAAGGCACATTTCCCCCCAACATCAGAAAGAGAGAAGAAGAGATACAGAGAGAGGGCCAGAGAGTGCTGCAATATATACGCAATATTCTACAGTGCCATGGCATAAAGTGAAAATAGATTCCGAACACACTAAACCCATAAACAAGTTCCTCTTTCACTCTTTGTGTAATTTCCTGACCGAGACCGCCAGACCTCCCACCCCTTCTCACCCCACCTCACACCCCTGCAAAGCTTTCTCAGTGAACTCCTTCTATTTCTGAAGGTCCAGCTAAAACCATACTGCAGGATACTGTGTTTGTGTCCACATCTATTCCCCACCCTTCTCCACCCTCTTCTCCTTCCCAAGAGAGTCACCCGCATGAGCAATACCTGTGAGGGGTCAAGCCCTCTGACTTCCAGTTGTGTCCAGCCAACAAAGAGCTTTGGTAGCAGGTCTGAGGAGGGAGAATATTGACCATGTCTTCCCTCTCTTCACACTGAACCTGCAGCTGGTACTAACCCCAGCTCTGGGATTATGCATTATGCCTTATGGTTTTTTTATTCCCTGGCTACCCTTTGTAAATGGTCCTTTATTCGACCGACCTCACATTATCTTGCTTTGAGTGTACTATCTATTTCCTGTTGGTATCTGGACTGATCCAGCCATTAAGTGAATTCAGCCTTTCCATCTTCCCATCTCAAAGTCATAATCAAAGGCAGCCAACTAACTTTTCAAACCATGTTTAAATAAGGCAAACGCTGAGCTGTTGCCAATCTGGCTGTTTCGGTGCCTCGCGTCCGTTTTCTATACATCACTTTCCTTTTTCTGTCCATAAATCTTCTACCACGTGGCTACACTGGAGCCTCTCTGAACCTATCCTGGGTGGAGGCTGCCCAATTCATGAATAGTTCTTGGCTCAATTAAACTGTTAAATTTAAAAAGAAAAAGGTAGTCATAGGACCTCTTCTATTGTATCTTTCTTTGCTGGTCTGTGTTCTTCACTAGCTCCTTAAGTACCAGAGTAATAATTGTATAATATCTGAACTCCCCATACATGGCAAAGACCTCATATATAAAAGGCGTTTAATAAAAATTTATTGAATAAATGTATAAACCAATGGTAGAAATTATAAGAGTAATTCTCAGCATAAATAAATGCTTTTATTAGTGACACTGGCCTGTCTCATCCCACTATTGCTACCAGTAAATACTTTTAGCTTTAGTTTGATCCAAGAATTGGAAAAAAATTTTACAAACTTTATCATTTCTGAATAACAACGTATTTTCAAAACAGTTTTATAACGCAACACATATTACTAAAAAAAAATCCAATTGTCTACTCCTATCAAATGGCATTTACTTTTCATCTTTGTAATTTCCTCCACAAGAATTTCACAGTTCAGGGGGCATTGGATAACATAAAGAACTGACTATTTCATTTTTACTCAAAATTAAATATTTAATAGATTGCCAAAAGCAAATCCCTATTTATGTTTTCTTATTATTTTTCTCTTCAAAATATTTATTATGGATTTTAAGTGACAGATTTCATTCTTGGAAAATGATTATATCAATTTAATTAGATTGTCACCTCAGGGTCCATTCTTTTATATTTAGGAAGTTTGGAACAGAAAAGATCCTGAAAACAGAAAACAATTGCAACTAGGCACCTGGAAGTGTGCCTATCTATAATTTCATAAAATATGCTCATAATTATTTCTCTTTTATTTACTCTTAGAACTTTTACTTAGCAATTACACATTAAAGAAACAATTGAAACTCCCTCTGTGGCCAGCTCTAATTTTTTCCCCTCTCTTACTCTCCCAAAGTGTACAGCTTTCCCAAACATGTTTTTACTTTATAAATACATACAAAGGTATTTATAAATAACAGATATTCTTATTTTGTGTGTGGCTTTTTAAAAACCATATAAATTGTGTCGTACCAGGATATTGTTCTGTTACTTAGATTTTTTACCCAAATTATGTTTGTGAGATGTATCCACGTTGTGAATACGGGTAAAGTTTATTCTTTTCAACTTCTAAATAGAGGGGACAGACACTGCCAGCTGCCTAACCAATACTATGACCCCCACCTTTTTTTTTTTACTAAGAGAAACATAATATTTTTCAATGCAATCATGAGCCCTGAAAAATTAGACAATACTTTCCAAGCTTCTTGCAGCTAGACTTAGCTCTCTGGCACAGTCCTAGCTAATGAGATGTAAGCAAAGTCGGCTTGGGTTTGCTCAGGAGAGTTCCTGATGGCTCAGCTACCTCCACCACATTTCTTTCCTCTTTACTACTTCCTGCCTAGAATGCGGATGTACTTCATGGTGGAAGTGCAGCCATTTTGTAACCGTTAAGAGAAAGAGCTGCCTGCTAGATAGGAGATAGTGAGATGTAAAGAAGTTTGGGTTCTTGATGACTTTGTAAAGCTTTCCTAACAAGCAGCCCTGCCTCTAGACTTCATACCAAATGAGAAAAGCAGAATTCACACTTTGTTTAAGGTACAGTCGTTGGTTTTCTTTTTACTTGCAATCTAATTAATTCCTAACTAATAATAGAACCCATTTAATGAGCATGCCATTGTTTATATGTCCACTTATGCATTCCAATTAGTTATTTTCTTCTTTCCAGCCACAACCAGATTGCAATCAACACTGTTGCACAATGAACTTCTCTGCACACATGTGAGTCTCTGAGGGTACTGGAAGATCATAAGGTTATGTTGCTATTCAACTCTGGAAAACAGTTTAAAACACCTAGAAAAGTGGAGGTTCTTGAAATTCCCACAGTGTAAGAGTTATTGTTTTCATATATCTTTGCCAACTTTGATAATGTTAAGTCCTGACCAATGAAATTTTTGTAAGTCCACTGGATGTAAAGTAGAATCTCATTGGTTTTAAAATTCATTAATATCCTAACCAATGGGGGAAAGAGTCCCTATTTAATAAATGCTGCTGGGATAACTGCCTAGTCATATGCAGAAGAATGAAACTGGCCCCCTACCTTTCACCACATATAAAAATTAACTCAGAATGGATCAAAGACTTAAATCTAAGACTTCAAACTATAAAGTTCTAGAAGAAAACCTAGGAAATACCATTCTGGAAATTAGCCTTGGCAAGGAATTTATGGCTAAGACATCAAAAGAAATCACAACAGAAACAAAAATTGACAAATTTGGACCTAATTAAACTAAAGAGCTTCTGCACAGCGCACACACACACACACACACACACACACACACACAAAACCTATCAACAGAGTAAACAGATAACCTTCAGAATGGGAGAAAATATTCACAAACTATACATCCAACAAAGGTCTAATATCCAGAATCTATAATGAAATAAAACAAATCAACAAACAAAAACAACTCCATTAAAAAGTGAGCAAAGGAGAGAGGTTCCAAGATGGCCGAACAGGAACAGCTCCAGTCTACAGCTCCCAGCGTGAGCAACACAGAAGATGGGTGATTTCTACATTTCCAACTGAGGTTCCGGGTTCATCTCACTGGGGCTTGTCAGACAGTGGGTGCAGGACAGTGGGTGCAGCCCACAGAGCGTGAGCCGAAGCAGGGTGGGGCATCACCTCACCCAGGAAGTGCAAGGGGTCAGGGAATTCCCTTTCCTAGCCAAGGGAAGCCGTGACAGATGGCACCTGGAAAATTGGGTCACTCCCAACCTAATACTGCGCTTTTCCAACGGTCTTAGAAAACGGCACACCAGGAGATTATATCCCGCGCCTGGCTTGGAGGGACCCACGCCCACGGAGCCTTGCTCACTGCCAGCACAGCAGTCTGAGATCTAACTGCAAGGTGGCAGAGAGGCTGGGGGCGGGGCATCCGCCATTGCTGAGGCTTGAGTAGGTAAACAAAGTGGACAGGAAGCTCGAACTGGGTGGAGCCCACTGCAGTTAAACAAGGCCTGCTTGCCTCTGTAGACTCCACCTCTGGGGGCAGGGCATAGCTGAACAAAAGGCAGCAGAAACTTCTGCAGACTTAAATGTCCTTGTCTGACAGCTTTGAAGAGAGTAGTGGTTCCCCCAGCACAGAGTTTGAGATCTGAGAACAGACAGACTGCCTCCTCAAGTGGGTCCCTGACCCCCAAGTAGCCTAACTGGGAGGCACTTGCCAGTAGGGGCCGATTGACACCTCATACGGCCAGGTGCCCCACTGAGACGAAGCTTCTAGATGAACGATCATGCAGCAACATTTGCCATTCTGCAGTATCTGTGGTTCTGCAGCCTCTGCTGGTGATACCCAAGCAAACAGGTCTGGAGTGGACCTCCAGCAAACTCCAACAGACCTGCAGCTGAGGATCCTGTTAGAAGGAAAACTAACAAACAGAAAGGACATCCACACCAAAACCCCATGTGTACATCACCATCATCAAAGACCAAAGGAAAATAAAACCACAAAGATGGGGAGAAACCAGAGCAGAAAAGCTGAAAATTCTAAAAATCAGAGGGCCTCTACTCTTCCAAAGGAATGCAGCTCCTTGCCAGCAACAGAACAAACCTGGATGGAGAATGACTTTGACGAGTTGAGAGAAGAAGGCTTCAGAGGATCGGTAATAACAAAGTTCTCCAAGCTAAAGGAGGATGTTCGAACCCATCACAAAGAAGGTAAAAACCTTGAAAAAAGATTAGACGAATGGCTAACTAGAATAAAGAATGTAGAGAAGACCTTAAATGACCTGATGGAGCTGAAAACCATGGCACCAGAACTACATGGCGCATGCACAAGCTTCAGTAGCCGATTCGATCAACTGGAAGAAAGGGTATCAGTGATTAAAGTTCAAATGAATGAAATAAAGCAAGAAGAGAAGTTCAGAGAAAAAAGAGTAAAAAGAAATGAACAAAGCCTCCAAGACATGTGGGACTATGTGAAAAGACCAAATCTACGTCTGATTGGTGTACCTGAAAGTGATGGGGAGAATGGAACCAAGTTGGAAAACACTCTTCAGGATATTATCCAGGAGAACGTCCCCAACCTAGCAAGGCAGGCCAACATTCAACTTCAGGAAATACAGAGAACACCACAAAGATATTCCTCGAGAAGATCAACTTCAAGACACATAATTGTCAGATTCACCAAAGTTGAAATGAAGGAAAAAATGTTAAGGGCAGCCAGAGAGAAACATCAGGTTACCCACAAAGGGAAGCCCATCAGACTAACAGCGGATCTCTCGGCAGAAACTCTACAAGCCAGAAGAGAGTGGGGCCCAATATTCAAGATTCTTAAAGAAAAGAATTTTCAACCCAGAATTTCATATCCAGCCAAACTAAGCTGCATAAGTGAAGGTGAAATAAAATCCTTTACAGACAAGCAAATGCTGAGAGATTTTATCACCACCAGGCCTGCCTTACAAGAGCTCCTGAAGGAAGCACTAAACATGGAAAGGAACAACCGGTACCAGCCACTGCAAAAACATGCCAAAATGTAAAGACCATTGATGCTAGGAAGAAACTGCAGCAACTAACAAGCAAAATAACCAGCTAATATCACAATGACAGGATCAAATTCACACAGAACAATATTAAGCTTAAATGTAAATGGGCTAAATGCTCCAATTAAAAGACACAGACTGGCAAACTGGATAAAGACTCAAGACCCATCAGTGTGCTGTATTCAGGAGACCAACCTCATGTGCAGAGACACACATAGGCTCAAAATAAAGGGATGGAGGAAGATCTACCAAGCAAATGGAAAACAAGAAAAGGCAGGGGTAGCAATCCTAGTCTCGGATAAAACAGACTTTAAACCAACAAAGATCAAAAGAGACAAAGAAGGCCATTACGTAATGGTAAAGAGATCAATTCAACAAGAACAGCTAACTATCCTAAATATATATGCACCCAATACAGGAGCACCCAGATTCATAAAGCATGTCCTTAGAGACCTACAAAGAGACTTAGACTCCTACACAATAATAATGGGAGACTTTAACTCCCCACTGTCAACATTAGACAGATCAACAAGACAGAAAGTTAACAAGCATATCCAGGAATTGAGCTCAGCTCTGCACCAAGTGGACCTAATAGACATCTACAGAACTCTCCACCCCAAATCAACAGAATATACACTCTTCTCAGCACATCACACTTATTCCAAAATTGACCACATAGTTGGAAGTAAAGCACTCCTCAGCAAACATAAAAGAACAGAAATTATAACAAACTGTCTCTCACACCACAGTGCAATCAAACTAGAACTCAGGATTAAGAAATTCATTCAAAACCGCTCAACTACATGGAAACTGAACAACCTGCTCCTGAATGACTACTGCGTACATAACGAAATGAAGGCAGAAATAAAGATGTTCTTTGAAACCAATGAGAACAAAGACCCAACACAACAGAATCTCTGGGACACATTTAAAGCAGTGTGTCAAGGGAAATTTATAGCACTAAATGCCCACAAGAGAAAGCAGGAAAGATCTAAAATTGACACCCTAACATCACAATTAAAAGAACTAGAGAAGCAAGAGCAAACACATTCAAAAGCTAGCAGAAGGCAAGAAATAACTAAGATCAGAGCAGAACTGAAGGAGATAGAGACACAAAAAAACCTTCAAAAAAATCAATGAATCCAGGAGCTGGTTTTCTGAAAAGATCAACAAAATTGATAGACTGCTAGCAAGACTAATAAAGAAAAAAGAGAGAAGAATCAAATAGATGCAATAAAAAATGATAAAGGGGATATCACCACCGACCCCACAGAGATACAAACCACCATCAGAGAATACTATAAACAACTCTATGAAAATAAACTAGAAAATTTAGAAGAAATGGATAAATTCCTCGACACATACACCCTCCCAAGACTAAACCAGGAAGAAGTTGAATACCTGAATAGACCAATAACAGGCTCTGAAATTGAGGCAATAATTAATAGTCTACCAACCAAAAAAAGTCCAGGACCAGATGGATTCACAGCTGAATTCTACCCGAGATACAAAGAGGAGCTGGTACCATTCCTTCTGAAACTATTCCAATCAATAGAAAAAGAGGGAATCCTCCCTAACTCATTTTATGAGGCCAGCATCATCCTGATACCAAAGCCTGGCAGAGACACAACCAAAAAAGAGAATTTTAGACCAATATCCCTGATGAACATCAATGCAAAAATCCTCAATAAAATACTGGCAAACCAAATCCAGCAGCACATCAAAAAGCTTAACCACCATAATTAAGTGGGCTTCATCCCTGGGATACAAGGCTGGTTCAACATACGCAAATCAATAAACGTAATCCAGCATATAAACAGAACCACAGACAAAAACCACATGATTATCTCAATAGATGCAGAAAAGGCCTTTGACAAAATTCAACAGCCCTTCATGCTAAAAACTCTCAATAAATTAGGCATTGATGGGACGCATCTCAAAATAATAAGAGCTATTTATGACAAACCCACAGCCAATATCATACTGAATGGGCAAAAACTGGAAGCATTCCCTTGGAAAACTGTCACAAAACAGGGATGTCCTCTCTCACCGCTCCTATTCAACATAGCGTTGGAAGTTCTGGCCAGGGCAATCAGGTAGAAGAAAGAAATAAAGGATATTCAATTAGGAAAAGAGGAAGTCAAACTGTCCCTGTTTGCAGATGACATGATTGTATACTTAGAAAACCCCATCATCTCAGCTCAAAATCTCCTTAAGCTGACAGGCAACTTCAGCAAAGTCTCAGGATACAAAATCAATGTGCAAAAATCACAAGCATTCTTATACACCAATAACAGACAGAGAGGCAAATCATGAGTGAACTCCCATTCACAAATGCTTCAAAGAGAATAAAATACCTAGGAATCCAACTTACAAGGGATGTGAAGGACCTCTTCAAGGAGAACTACAAACCACTGCTCAAGGAAATAAAAGAGGACACAAACAAATGGAAGAACATTCCATGCTCGTGAATAGGAAGAATGAATATCGTGAAAATGGCCATACTGCCCAAGGTAATTTATAGATTCAATGCCATCTCCATCAAGCTACCAATGACTTTCTTCACATAATTGGAAAAAAACTACTTTGAAGTTCATATGGAACCAAAAAAGAGCCTGCATTGCCAAGATAATCCAAAGCCAAAAGAACAAAGCTGGAGGCATCATGCTACCTGACTTCAAACTATACTACAAGGCTATAGTAACCAAAACAGCATGGTACTGATACCAAAACAGAGATATAGACCAATGGAACAGAACAGAGCCCTCAGAAATAATACCACACATCTACAACCATCTGATCTTTGACAAACCTGACAAAAACAAGAAATGGGGAAAGGATTCCCTATTTATGCTGGGAAAACTGGCTAGCCATATGTAGAAAGCTGAAACTGGATCCCTTCCTTACACCTTATGCAAAAATTAATTCAAGATGGAATAAAGACTTAAATGTTAGACCTAAAACTATAAAAGCCCTAGAAGAAAACCTAGGCAATACCATTCATGACACTGGCATGGGCAAGGACTTCATGTTTAAACACCAAAAGCAACGGCAACAAAAGCCAAAATTGATAAATGGGATCTAATTAAACCAAAGAGCTTCTGCACAGCAAAAGAAACTACCATCAGAATGAACAGGCAACCTACAGAATGGGAGAAAATTTTTGCAATCTACTCATCTGACAAAGGGCTAATATCCAGAATCTACAAAGAACTTAAATTTACAGGAAAAAAATCAAACAGCCCCATTAAAGCGGGCAAAGGATATGAACAGACACTTCTCAAAAGAAGACATTTATGGAGCCAAAAGACACATGAAAAAATGCTCATCATCACTGGCCATCAGAGAAATGCAAATCAAAACCACAATGAGACACCATCTTACACCAGTTAGAATGGCGATCATTAAAAAGTCAGGAAACAACTGCTGGAGAGGATGTGGAGAAATAGCAACACTTTGACACTGTTGGTGGGAGTGTAAACTAGTTCAACTATTGTGGAAGACAGTGTGGTGATTCCTCAAGGATCTAGAACTAGAAATACCATTTGACCCAGCAATCCCATTACTGGGTATATACTCAAAGGATTATAAATCATGCTGCTATAAAGACACATGCACACATATGTTTATTGCAGCACTATTCACAATACCAAAGACTTGGAACCAACCCAAATGTCCATCAATGATAGACTGGATTAAGAAAATGTGGCACATATACACCATGCAATACTATGCAGCCATAAAAAAGGATGGGTTCATGTCCTTTGTAGGGACATAGATGAAGCTGGAAACCATCATTCTCAGCAAACTATCACAAGGACAGAAAACCAAACACCGCATGTTCTCACTCATAGGTGGGAATTGAACAATGAAAACACTTGGACACAGGGTGGGGAACACCACACACGGGGGCCTGTCATGGGGTTGGGGGAGGGGAGAGGGATAGCATTAGGAGGTATACCTAATGTAAATGACGAGTTAATGGGTGCAGCACACCAACATGGCACATGTATACATATGTAACAAACCTGCACATTGTGCACATGTACCCTAGAACTTAAAGTATAATAATAATAAAATAAATAAAATAAAAATAAAAAACAAGTAGAATAATACACTAAAATACAACTTGTTAAACATTAGTCAATAAGGTAGTCTAAAAGTTTGATCTAATAAAGTTTCAAAAAACAGTGAAAAAAAATAATAAAGATAAATAAAAAACAAAAAGTGAGCAAAGAACATGAAACATACACTTCTCAAAAGAAGATATGCAAGTGGCCAACAAACATGAAAAACTACTCCACATCACTAAGAATCAGAGAAATGCAAATCAAAACCACAATGAGATACCATCCTACACCAGTCAGAATGGCTACTAATAAAACATCAAAAAATAGTAGATGCTGATGAGGCTGTGGAGAAAAGGGAACACTTATACACTGTTGCTGAGAATGTAAATTAATTCAGCCACTGCGGAAAGCAAAGCAGTGTGGCAATTCTTCAAAGAACTTAGAACAGAACTACCATTCAAGCCATCAATCCTATCACTTGGGCATATAGCCAAAGGAAAATACATTGTACTACCAAAAAGACACATGCCCTTATATGTTTGTTGCAGACTATTCACAATAGCAAAGACAGAATCAACCTAGGTGCCCATCGATGGTGAATTAAATAAAGAAAATATGGTACATATACATCATGAAATACTATGCAACCATAAAAAAGAACCTTGTCCTTTGCAGCAACACGGATGCAGCTGGAGGCCATTATCCTAAGCAAATTAATGCAGAAAGAGAAAACCAAATGCCACATGTTCTCACTTATAAATGAGAGCTAAACATTGGATACATGTGGACACAAAGACAAGAGCAATAGACAGTGGAGACTCCAAAAGGGGGCAGAGAGGGAGAAGGACAGAGCCTGAAAAACTATGTACTGGTACTAAGCTCACTACCTGGGTGATGGGATTAATCAAACCCCAAACCTCAGCATCACACAACATACCAGTATAACAAACTTGCACATGTATCCCCTGAATCTAAAATAAAAGTTGAAATTAAAAATAAAATAAAATAAAATTCAGGCCGGGCACAGTCACTCACACCTATAATCCCAGCACTTTGGGAGACCGAGGCAGGCAGCTCACCTGAGGTTGGGAGTTCAGAACCAGCCTGGCCAACATGGCATCTCTACTAAAAAAAATACAAAAATTAGCTGGGCATGGTGGCATGTGCCTGTAGTCCCAGCTACTCAGGAGGATGAGGCAGGACAATCTCTTGAACCCAGGAGGCGGAGATGGCAGTGATCCGAGATCATGCCACTGCAGTTCAACCTGGACAACAGAGTAAGACTCTGTCTCAAAAAATAAAATAAAATGAATAAAATAAAATAAAAATTCATTAATTTCTTAGCAAGGTTGATTTTTTTCATATTAGACTTTCTTGGTTTTTACTGGACTTCTCACTACCTTTTAAATTAATTCATGGAACATAATTATATTAATATGTAAGTAGGCCAGGAGTCATTGCAAAGGAGGAAGAAAAATTCAATTCAATAATGGCTCCCTTTTGTTGACTACTTATTACATCCCATCAATGCTAATCTTCATCTTCATTCTGAAAACTGGAAAGGTAGAAATTACTGTTCCTATGGTTTTTATTATTTTTATAGATTTTCTTATGCTATAGACATTATTTTGAGGCTTTTTACAGGCACAGAGAAGTTATTATATGTCCAAAGTCAGATAGCTAGAAAGCGGGGAAGCAGAGATTTTAAACCTAAATCTACTAAATCCAAAGCCTGCATGTTTTTTTATTACACAATGCTGATCATAAGAATTTTTTCTAGTATAAACTGCGGCAGAAAAATTATTAGCTGTGGTAGAGAAAGAAACAAATAACACTAACACAAGCCTCTTTTAAATTATGAAGATAAAGAACATAAATAATCATATTGATTTTCAAATGTAGAACTGAAAATTAGACATATTTAAGAAACAACTCTTGGTCACAGAAAATATGAGGTAAACAGAAATTCAAAAAAAGATTGACTATCACTAGAGTAATGTCTCATAATTGCTACTTGGACACAACTTTAATTTTAGTAGGTTAAGTGAATGCAAGTGATCCATCTTAGTTTTAGAGAAGCAGGTGCTGCTTTTGCTCATGAAATTCTCCTGGCAGATTAATTGAAATTGGCTTGGCTATAAGTACTCTCAGTTGATTTGGGAACTGGCTCAAGAGTCACGAACAAGGAATAATCATAAACCTCTGAGTACCTAGTTTTCCAGCAGGGTGGCATAGGGATTGATGGACTGAGTTTCATTTAGCATCTTCATTAATGGTCTGAAAGAGGCAGCAAATAGCTTGTTAATGAAATTCACAAATGAGACATGGCAAACACTGATAAAGATCGCTAAATTATCAAAGGAAACTCACAGAAGAAAGATATCTAGACACAAATGAATAACCTATAATGCAACATGGAAAGCCAGAGTTGAAACCAGGATGTATGGGGAGTGGTATTCGGGAAGAAGCTGATAGGGAAAAATTTTTTTTATAATATCAAATGTTTTTATTGCTTACTTATAAATATTTTGTAATTTATATTATAATTTCTGCTTCCATGAATCATTTGGGAAAAAGTAACATTTATGACATCATCTGCTAAGACGTTTCTTCCTCCAAAGCACCATTTCTAAAAGTGACCCAGGAGTTAGAGTGAAAAGTCAATTAAATCTTAGCTTATAATGTTAAATGGCAGCCAAAAAGAATTTCTTTGGCTTACTGCCCTATGATAGAGCAGAATTTGGAGTCAATAAGACAGATCTGAGATTCAAACTCGGGTATCTCATCTGATCCAATTTTTTCACCTCTAAAATGAGAAAAATAATACCCACCTCACAGGGCTGCCTTTATGGTGATGAAATGAGACAATGTGTGCAAAAAGCAATAGGCATGATGCCTACCGTGACTGGAAGCCCAGCAAATGTTGGCTACATCTGAAATGAAGCAGGCTTTGATCCATCCCTGCCTCGAGAAGGGTTGCTGGACTCAGGAATGAGCACTTTAACTCCCAAAATATGAAATTAAACCCGAGAAAGCCCCAAGAAGAGAAACAGGAAAGGAAGCAGCCAAGTCAAGAGAGAGACAGAAGAACTTAATCCAGGTCACTAATTCCAGAAACACATCCGAAGTGCGCAAGGCTGAAAATGGAGAGTAAATTTTTAACACGAACAAGATGAAAGTAAGACTAATGGGGCGAAATTAAGGAAAAAAAAATAGCTTAAGCTTTAGATCATAGAAAAAAATTTTCCTTGACACTTCTATTAGATATTGCAGAATATTCATACAAGGGGAATCGTAAGTGAATCATTTCTTGAAGTGTTTCAAATTAGCTGGATAATGGTTCAAAAAGTTTATCATTAGGGAAAAAAAAATCCTCCTGACTCCTTTTGGGCTCTAATGCCTTTGACAATAATTCTCATATTACCATGCTCAAAACTATCCAAGCAGCAGTAAACAGGAAAGACAAGAAAGAGTGTGCACTCTTTGTTTTTTTTTTTCTTTTTTTCTTTTCTTACCCCACCCCCGGCACCCCCTCCCCCCAGACAGTCTCACTCTGTCACCAGGCTGGAGTGCAGTGGCTCGATCTCGGCTCACTGCAATTTCCGCCTCCTGGGTTCAAGAGATTCTCCTGCCTCAGCCTCCCGAGTAGCTGGGACTACAGGCGTGTGCCACCACGCTCAGCTAATCTTTGTATTTTTAGTAGAGACGGGGTTTCACCATGTTGGTCAGGATGGTCTCAATATCTTGACCTCGTGGTCTGCCTGCCTCGGCCTCCCAAAGTGCTGGGATTACAGGTGTGAGCCACCGCACCCGGCAGAATGTGCACTCTTAAAGATAGCATTAACCACCTTTGGAGGAGCCCCACTCCCCCTCAACCCACAAAACTTGGGAGCAATAATCGCTGCTCATTGAAAGCTGACAATTATGACTGACAAGTTAATTGTTACCCCAAGAAAATTATCTAAGAAGTTCTAAAACTGTAATAGAGTAATTGACCCTTTTCTTCAAATGCTTACTAAAACCCCTAATAAGTCACTGGACAGAATTTTCACAGACTTAAGTTTCCTTTCTGTTTATAAGTTATTCTTAAACATTTTGGTATCTGCTACTACTCTATATAATGGTATCTGATTTTTTTCACATAATTATGTATGCCATTATTTCACACCTAAATCACCCAGATTTCATGAGATTCTGCAAAATAAATCAGTCCTTTCAGATGCTCCAACCACATGGCAAATGTGACATTCCCCTCAGTACTGGAAAAATCATTACCCGAGACAAGCAAGAGGTTTCTGATGTGGCACGGGTTGGATAGCCAGCAGATTACACATAAGAGCCAGGAGAAGAAATATCCAAGGGGAAAGGAAGGCAGCCATCTGATTTATGCATCAAGATACACTAAAAAAAAAAAAATATTGTGCACTATGTGCCAGACACTGTATGAGGTCTTAGCAATTTAACAATGACCAATAAAAACTAAAGTACTACCCTCAAAGATTTACATGCTCATGAGGAAGGCACTCATAAGGAGGCAAATGAATGCAAATGTAATATATTTTCCAGGAGACATAAGTATTACAGAAAAACATGAAAGGGTTAAGGATAACTTGGAGATGGGAATAGGGGATACAGCTATTTTAGTTTAGGAAGTGAAAGAAGATCTCTTAGTAGATGACATCTGGGGGGAAAATCTGAAATAAGTAAGGGAGGAAGCCAACCTGATTCAGAAAAATCACATTTCAGGTAGAGAAAAAAGCAAGCATAAAGGCTCTACTCCTGCATATGTCAGAAGCAGCAGGAAAGCAAGTGTAGCTAGAATGGAGTTACCAGGAACCTGCAGGTATTCTAGGTGGAGGCAGCAAAGGTGATAGGAGTGATAACCAGGCAGAGGTCAAATCATACCAAGCTCTGAAGGACAGGGGCAAGGAACAGGACGGCACTGAAGGTTTTGCAAAAGTGAATAACAGGATCAGATTCACATTTTGAAAGATCGCTCTAGCTGTTTTTTGGAAAATAGATTTTACTGGGTGCAAGGTAAAGGTAAAATAAAGAGTGAAATATGGAAGCCATTTTATTGGGCCAGGAAAATATGGAAATGAGAACAGGAGGGATAGAAACTAGCCTATAGGCTGGGCGCAGTGGCTCACACCTGTAATCTCAGCTCTTTGGGAGGCCGAAGCGGGCAGATCACTTGAGGTCAGGAGTTCAAGACCAGCCTGACAAACATAGTGAGACCCCCGTCTCTACTAAAAATACCAAAAAAAAAAAAAATATTATAGGCGAGGTGGCGAATGCCTGTAATCCCAGCCACTCAGGAGGCTGAGGCACAAGAATCGCTTGAACCCAGGGAGGCAGAGTTTGCAGTGAGCTGAGATCACGCCACTGCACTCTAGCCTGGGTGACAGAGCGAGACTCCATCTCAAAAAAAAAAAAAAAAAGAAAGAAAAGAAACGAAACTAGCCTATAGACTCAGAAGACATTTTGAAGATAGAGCCAATAGATTTTGCTGATGTGTTAGATGAGAGGAACGCCAATTAGTTGAGGGAACGTGCTGCTAAGACACTCTGAAGAGGTGGTTTGTAAGTGAGCTGCCTATGCTATCGAAGACAAGCAATATGTGTATGTTTGATGTCTCTGGGAGAACAGATGATGGTGATATATTTTTTGTTCCTTTAGTAAATCCCCTTAACTATCTGGTGTCCATTAACCTCCTGAATCTTTTTCAGTTGATATACGTGGGCTTTGGTAAATTCCTGAATCTGTACACCAGTTTGGGGAAGTCATATCTTTTTTGTCATTCACTCTAAAATTGATCCTTCATGTTTCAAACTATGCCTGTCCTTTTCCAAAGTCACCTTACACAAAACCCAAATTTACCAAATACCAAGTTTACCGTATTACCTATTCCTTGCCCCTGGCCGTCAGGGTTTGGTATGATTTGACCTCTGCCTAGTTATCACACTTATCACCTTTGTTGCCTCCACCTAGACTACCTGCAGGTTCCTGGAAACTCCATTATAGGTACACTTGCTTTCCTGCTGCTCCTGAAATATGCAGGAATACAGCCTTTATGCTTGCCTTTTTCTCTACCTGGAATGCGATTTTTCTGAATCAGGTTGGCTTCCTCCCTTTATTTCAGATTTTTCCCCCAGATGTCATCTACTAAGAGATCTTCTTTCACCACCTAAACTAAATACAGTAAACTTGAGCATGTCCTCCACACCCTTTCCAAACCATGGGGATTTCAGAGCGCTCCATCCTGAGTTCTTGTTTTTGGGATTTATTCTTGGTTAATGGGGAAATGGGACCCCGTTCTATTCCAGATGTTATTCCAGAAACAGGTTGTTCTGCTTCTCTTCCCAAGTGCCTTTTTGAGGACTGCCCTCTATATGTCCAGCATGATAGACCAATGCTCTGAAACAAGGGAGACAGTCTTCTTTGGTTTGTTTCCTAGTGATGCCTAGAACTTCCTAATCAATCTAAGCCTATTAGAAAGCCCCAGACATTCTTGGTGCTCCTACTTCCCTTACACCTGTTAAGAAGTCACATTATCATATTATCACATACTGATTCTACCTCAGGCCTGACTATGCATCTGTCCCTCTTTATTTTCATCATCATAGCTTTTTTTTTTTTTCCTGAGGCAGGATCTCAGTTCTGTCACCCAGGCTGGAGTGCAGTAGCATGATCACAGCTCACTGCAGCCTCCACCTCCCAGGCTCAAGCGATCCTCCCACCTCGGTCTCTCGAGTAGCTGAAACCTCTGAGTAGCTGGTGCCTTCCTCATCAGGATGTAAATCTGTCAGTGCCTTCCTCGCCAGCAAAATTAGTGCACCACTATGTCCGACTAATTTTTTTATTTTTTGTAGAGATGAGGTCTTATGTTGCCCAAGCTGGTCTTGAACTCCTAAGCTCAAGCAATCCTCCCACCCTGGCCTCCCAAAGTACTAGGAGTACAGGTGTGAGCCACTGCAGCCAGCCACTGTAGCTTTCATGCCAGCCCTCATCACCTCTCCCTTCTATTACTGCACTAGACAATTTGGTCTTCTTTCTTTCTCCATGGAGCTGTGGTAATCTTTCCTAAACACAAATCTGATGATTTCCCACTACCCAGAGCAGGCTTTCAGACTGTGCTTATTAAACTCTAGGAAGCTCCTGCCCATCTCCGCATCTTCCACTGGAAGTGAACCCCATTTTCTTTGTTACACATTTGTCTTCTGAATGAGACTTTTTCAATAAAAGGTTTCACTGCAAGAGAGAGACAGAATGAGCTTGAAAAACACTGACTTAGACTGGTCCTAACTCCTTTACATTCAAGCGCCTTCAAAGTTAATCTCTTATTTCATCCTCCTCTCCAGTGGCTTTCCAATAATGCACACTACAGCCCAGCCATACTGGACTTTCCACACTTTCTAAAATATGCCATGCCCTCAAATATGGGCAGGCAGATAAGTTATTGCCATGACACTTCATATATTCTCAAAAAACGGTTGCTGTTATGAGCAACTGCTGTTGCCTCTTCTCACCATATTTATCCCTTCACCATCTCCCCTCATCCTTAAGAGACTCAAATTAAACATCACCTTCTTTGTGAATCTTCAAATGGGATGAATTTCTCTTGTATCACTATAGTTTATTTATGTAAGTATTTCCCAAACTGTGACATAAGAATGTATATTCAGGAACCCATACTGTCTCTGAGACTCCTATTTCAACGTTATGTTTTTATTTTGCTGATAATCTACAAATAAAATTTACCAGTTTTAAAACAGAAGCTTTCTCTTGGGTGGATGAGTCTCCATTCAAATAAATTTTCATAGGATAAAGTTCTAGTTTTCTTAAGTGAGTATGGTTTTTTTTTTTTTTTTTTTTTTTGAGATGGAGTCTCGCTCTGTCGCCCAGGCTGGAGTGCAGTGGCGCGATCTCGGCTCACTGCAAGCTCCGCCTCCCGGGTTCACGCCATTCTCCTGCCTCAGCCTCCCGCGCAGCTGGGACTACAGGCGCCTGCCACCACGCCCGGCTAATTTTTTTGTGTTTTTTAGTAGAGACGGGGTTTCACTGTGTTAGCCAGGATGGTCTCGATCTCCTGACCTCGTGATCCACCCGCCTCGGCCTCCCAAAGTGCTGGGATTACAGGCGTGAGCCACCACGCCCGGCCAAGTGAGTATGGTTTCAAATGGAAGTCACAGGCATCTCTGGACATTATTCTGGGGTTCTCAAGTTGTGGTCCTTTTATAAAAAGTTTGTGCAAACATTTGATATTTGCTTTTACATATCTCTTTGTAAATAACAAGCATGTTTTGTTTTAGGTGTTTGATTAAGTGTCTCCCTTATCCAACAGATGACAAAAGAGCTGTCTGTAGTTGCCAACATGTTAGTTGAGCAACTCCTCCCTGTCTCTATGGCAAAAAAAAAAAAGTTGAATTTTTAAATGAGTCCTAGAATCCTTTTGAGTTCTGACTGATAGGCAATTTGGGAAAGGCTTTGATTTCAGGATTTCTGACCCTAAAATCTAATTATCCACCATAATGGACCTCATGGATATCTCATAGGTGGCCTAAGCAGTATATTAGCAACATATCAGAGATTTGGAGACAGATAGCATAAAAGAGACAAAAACAGCTGGACCTGAGAAACAACGGTTCTGCAGCAATTATGTAGGAGACACCTGCTCTTCTTCTCGTCACTTAGTGATCACTGTAAAGGCAAGAAAATGTCCCTTTCTGCTGCTAAGGTCCTGCCACGTGGCAAGTGGGAACTAGATATCACACAGACTTGGTGGCAGACCATTGAAGTTTATATGCTCTAGAACCCTGTATCAGTCAAGGTCCTGATGGGTAACAGATGACATACTCAAGGTGAGCAACCTAGGGGAGAAACTAATGAAAGGGACATTTACTAAAGAGTGGGCAGGGTGATGGAAAACCAATAAGGGAATGGCAAGGAAAAGAAGTACATACCAGAATCCAAAGAGGAACACTAAAGCTATAAGAGAAAGTTGCCTAGTGGAAGCTGTAGCCACAGAGAGAAAAACAAAGGCAAACAGTTAGACCCAGAAGACAGAAACCTGCCCTAACTCTCTCCTTACCCTTCTGGGTTCTCACTGGCTTAATCCAACAGGAAACTAAAAGATAAGCAAACTAATTAATGGAGTCCATAAAATTAATGCATAGAGCAGGCTTGGGAAAAGATAAAGAGTATGCCTGGAGATTCAAACGAAAGATACCAAAGATTCATAAGGAGGTAGGTAGCCTTAGGGGACATTTGAATATCAACAGTGTTGCTTTCCATGTAACCAGCATGAATCCTGCTGGGACAAATCTTATCCCCATGTCTTTGGAAATAGAGAGGATAAAAAATGATGATGATGATGATGATGACAGAGGAGAAAGAGATATGAAGAAGGAGGAGGTAAAGGAATAAATAACACAAAAAATGCTACTAATTTTAAAACCTGTGCATTTAATAACCATTTGTTGAATACATCCTAAGTGTTAGATGGTGAGCAAACCACTGATGACAAGAAGAGAAGACATGGTCTCTATACTTAGGAGCTTCCTATTTATTGGAGAAATCAGCTCTGTGAATTGATCAAGTACAGCATTAGCTACTACATTTATTACAAATAAATTTAATGCAACTAGCTTCTATGGCTATTTTATTCATTGTAATTATGATTATTTATAGTTATTGTTAAGCTTTACATGTATCAGGCAGGCTGCTCAACTACTTAAATCAGACCTACCTCATATGACCAGGAGAGGATTAAGTTCAATTGTCTACTACTATCTTCACTTTACAGATGATGAAGTTGACACTTAGGAAGTGTGAGTTTTATTCAAAGTCTTCTGGTTAGTAAGAGGTAGAGCTGCGATTGAGACACAAGCATTCCGATTCTAGAGACACACACTCCTAACCACTACAAGGCACTGCCACCTGGGGTGAGACCACAGTGGTTTTCCTTGAAACATGCATGCAATCTGTACTTTTTCAAAATCCAAGGGAGTTTTCTTGATCTATCAATTTACCATGTTCCTTTTTATCCCTCTCAATTTACTAATTGCATCAAATATTACATTAGGTCAGCATTACACTAATTGGCACCATTTTGTTTACTAAATGATGACAGGGTAGAATGGCGTTTCCTTTCCTTGAGGCCCATCATTAAAATGATTATTCCCCAGGGGGTGACGTGGAAAGTAGGAATGAGCTACACTGCAGCATGCATGGATACCTGTGGCCTTTAACAAAGAGGATGGCCTTACCCCAAATTATTCCATCTGGCAGAGCTGTTACCTGCTGTAGTTCACACATGAATGGCAATGATTTGCATGCAAATAGAAGCCTACATGCTTTCTCGGAGCTAAGAGCTGTATTTCAACATTTCACAGTGGAATTAGCAGTGGACAGGATGCTGCAGCTTTGTGGATATGCCAGCTAAAACCCTTCTAAATACCAAGCTCTGTGTTTCACAGCAAGATTGTTTATTGAACCAGTTCGTGGAAGCTCCAAAGACTCCTCTGCTGAAACACCGCCAGCTCCAAGCTCTGATTTTGACATTGATATTGTCAGATGAGATTAAGCACTGGTCGTAATGAATGCTGGCAGACTTCTGTTGAGGTATGATCACCCGTGTTCCTGTGGCTAAGTAGCAAAGCTCTAGACAGGAGCGAAGCTGTGGTCTTGGGAGTTATTAGTTGCTGTTTTTGTTTCTTTTTCCTGCTCCCTAATATGGTTTGGCTGTGTGTCCCCACCCAAATCATCTTGAAGTATAACTCGTAATTCCCACATGTTGAGGGAGGCACTCAGTGGGAGGTAATTGAATCATGGGGGCAGGTCTGTCTTCTGCTGTTGTCATAATAGTGAATAAATCTCACGAGATCTGATACTTTTAAAAAGAGGAGTTCCCCTGCACAAGCTCTCTCTCTTTTGCCCACCACCATCCACGTAAGATGTGACTTGCTCCTCCTTGCCTTCTACCACGATTGTGAGGCCTCCCCAGCCATGTCGAAGTGTAAGTCCATTAAACCTCTTTTTCTTCCCAGTCTCGGGTGTGTCTTTATCAGCAGCATGAAAACGGACTGATACACTTCCCTTCATCAGTTGCCAATTTCCTAGAAGATAAAGGGCAAGTTTTTAATTGATCTTCATGGATCTTCATATTCTGAGCCATACTGATCATTAACCCTCATGCTGTCTCACTCCTTTATACTACAACAATCCACAAATACTGTTATTTGCCCTTACACATGATGCAGTACTAAACTTTCTTTGCTTTGCCCATACTGTTCCCACCTTCTGGAATGACTTCCTTCACTATCTTTGGATAGTAAACTTTTACTCATCCTTCAAAAACCTGTTCAGGCTATTCTGAGAGATCTTCCCTCATTGTTCCAAATAAAGATGATTTCTATATCTCCAAAACCTGATCTATATCTTTACTATTACTGCATGAAACAATAAGACAAATAAGCACACAAAAGTCTTGCCTGTAGAGTCTTATCTCATCTTTATATATCCAGATCTCAGCACGATGTTTGGCATATAGTGTATACTCCATCCTTATTTGTTGAATTTAACTGAATTCCTCTTCCCAGGTACAAGGTATAGGAGGTATTTGGGAGTTTAAAACAAACCACAACATTATGTTAGCAACTCATGAATTAGTACTAAATTTTTTATGATGTTTGTTTTTGTTTGTTCGTAAAAATGCACTTATCTTACCAAAAAAGACAAAACAAAAAAATACAAAAAAGTTCCTTGATCTCCTTAACCAGAAAAATTGCTTTCAACAGTATGGGCCAATGCAGATCTATGATCATGTTTATATCTATACAGACATATATAAATACTCTTATATAATCCAGAAATAGAGCTTTGTTAGATTTTTTTAAGAGATTTGCTTTGAATAGTAGGAATGAGTTATCGTTTGTAGAAAAAAGATGACACGATGGAGAAATAAGTATTCCCTCCTGATGGAACAAGACAGTGAGGCTTGCTGAAATCCATTTAGCACAATCAGTTGGTCTATTATTTCCCAATTATGAAAGTGGAGAAATGAGATATTTAATCAGGACATATTTTAGAAAGTTGTAACATATTTGCTTACTTCCCTAAGGCTTGTAATGAAGAGCTCTTAATATTTCATTTTCATTATTACCAGAAGAGAAGAGTTATAATAAAAACTCTCCTTGTGGTCTTGATCCCAAAGCAAAAGAGAATTTCAGCATCTCTAGGTCATCTGAGCAATGACCCTCACAGTGAAACTAGGTGGAGAACTACTGGAGATCAGGATTCTGGATCCATTTCCCAGTCCATTGCCATTCTTTGTCTTTGCCAATAATCTCTACTTCTAACTCACAGGACATCTTGTATTTAGAATCTCTTCTGTGCTTGGAAGGTTACGGAAAATAATCATTCCCATATGCATGCTAAAGTGGACACCTTCCACTGAACACCGAACTCCTCCCTAAGTTCAGGACTGACAGCCACAGATGAGTAAACTGAGGCACATTTGCGAAAACATCAGGAAGAGATTGGAGTATGCCATCTTTAAGATCTTTTTAAGCTAAAAATTATCTCATTTAATTAGTGCCCCAATATTATCTGCTGGAACAAAGGTGTAATCATTGAACCAGGGAATATCATCAAAGACCAAAATGCTGATTGTGACTTATTACTAATTTTGGCTGCCAAATCCTTCGTTTTTTGAGAGGTTAGACTTACCTCTGTTAGATCTAGGTTATAGCTAATTGTGTTCTGTTCCTAAACAGATTAAGATCACATTGCTGAGAATTGGGAATAATTGTAGAATGCATAAACAAATTACTGCTCTCTGGATAAAAAACACAAATTTCTCAATGTCTTGTTCTCATATTCCAGGTCTTAGACTAGTCATGCCCAAAAAAAGCTTTCACTGATACAGCGAAGGTAAGGGTGAGTGCAGCCCTCAGGATATCTAAGTCAAACCAGACAGGGCTGCCTGCTTCCCATTTCCAGTGTGGTCTGCGGTGGTGTGTCTGATAAGAACGGACAAAAAGCAGAAAGCATGATCACTGTGATGAAAAATGAGAAGTGAAGAACAACCAGGTCCCAGCAACCCCTGACACAGTGGCCCTGGATAGCTAAATTTCAGCCATTCCTAAACATCGAATGGGAAGGAACAGGTTCAATTCATTAGGTGTTTTCAACCTGCTTTTTCTTTTTAATATATGTATACTGTGAAAAGAGGGTCAGTTTGTGTTTGGAAAAACCAATATATTTATTTGCATTTAGCTGTCATCTATTGGGAGAGAAGTAAAATTAAAGCATGGAAAGGAGAATTATTTGAAAACGCAAACTAGTATAAGCAGGAGAGGGCAAAACTTTGCATAGTTTCTTTAAAATAATGTCTTTTAAAGGTCATCTAATGGGGTGTGAGTGTGTGTGAAAAACACACTGGTTTATTCACCAAAAAGAGCCCAATCTGGCATGTAGCATAGCTTTCTCACAATCCAGGGAAGAGGGACCAGGGACTTTGGAAGCTGAACAGAGCAGAGTAGGTCTAAGTGTCTGTCCTCACATGGACATCTGAAGTCTCACTCAGATTTCATTCTCATTCTCCCCTCCCTTTCTCTTCGCTCTTTCTCTCCCTCCATCTCCATCTTTAACTCTGTCTTTTTCAATCTATTTTCACAAAGGATCCTGGCTGCATCCTGTCTCAGTCCTTTGTGTCCTAACAGGAAAATCTCAATCCCTCCTTTCTTGACTCTTGATCCCGTCCTGGCAAGCTTCCAATTCAAAGATGTCTCAATTAGCTAAGCATGAAGACACAGGACAGACCAAATGCTTCTTTAAATACTGAATCCTTCTTATAAAGTAACTTTGACTTGAAATAAGATCTACAGATTAGATAACAGCATTTTGTCAATATTATTAATCTCCTGATTTTGATCATTGGGCTCTATTTATGTAAGAGAATGTCTTTATTTTCAAAGATACATACCAAAGTATTTGAGGTTAAAGGGACATCATAGCTGGAAATTTTTTAACATTTATTTTAAAAGTTCAGGAGTACATGTGCAGGATGTACAGGTTACATAGATAAACATGTGTCATAGGGATTTGTTGTACAGATTATTTCATCACCTAGGTATTGAGCCTAGTATCCATTAGTCATTTTTCCTGATTCTCCCCTTCTTCCTATTCTCTGCCCTCCAGTAGGCCCCAGTGTGTGTTGTTCCCCTCTATGTGTCCATGTGTTCTCATCATTTAGCTCCCACTTGTGAGAACATGCAGTATTTGGTTTTCTGTTCCTGCAATAGTTTGCTAAGAATAATGGCCTCCATCTCCATCCATGTCCCTACAAAGGACATCCTCTGTTCTTTTTTGTGGCTGCATAGTACTCCATGGTGTATATGTACCATATTTTCTTTATCCAGTCTATCAATGATGGGCATTTGATTCCATGTCTTTGTTATTGTGAATAGTTCTGCAATGAACATACATATGCATGTGTCTTTATAATAGAATGATTTATATTCTTTTAGGTATGTACTCAGTAATGAGATTGCTAGGTCAAATGGTATTTCTGTCTAGGTCTTTGAGGAATCACCACACTGTCTTCCACAATGGTTGAACTAATTTACACTCCCACCAACAGTGTAAAGGCATTCCTTTTTCTCCACAACCTCATCAGCATCTTTTATTTTTTGACTTTTTGATAATAGCCATTCTGACTGGTGTGAAATGGTATCTCACTGTGGTTTTGATTTGCATTTCTCTAATAATTAGTGATTTGGGGCTTTTTTCCATATGATTGTTGGCTGCAAGTATGTCTTCTTTTGAGAAGTGTCTGTTCATGTCCTTTGCCCACTTTTTAATGGGGTTGTTTTTTTCTTGTAAATTTAAGTAGCTTGAATTATTTTCAAATGTTTTCGAAGAAAAACCATGTATATATAGAAAAAGAAAGCCAATGTGACAAAATGTTAACATTTGGAATACCTGGGTGAACAATATCTGGAATTTTTTGTATTATTCTTCCAACTTTTCTGTCATTTTGAAGTTATTTCAAAATAAAAAATTAAAAGGGGCTCTTCTATATTTTTAAAAATTATCATTTTTATTTGTTATCACAGTAAAGATCCTCTTTACCCAGTGATTCTACTGGGGAAGATGATTGAAAAGCAAGGAGCTATACCCTGACACAACTCAAACCAAACATATTATTATATAACACACACAACCAAAATCGCATTCTAGAAACCTGGACAAATTTTTCCATAAAACTTAAAATGAAGTTGTTCTCATCTTTTCATTTGCCCATTAATTTAGTCATAGAATATTTATTGAATACCTCCTGTTCAAAATGATCAAAAATGCTCTGGTGCTCACAGGCTGCAAAGGAGACACACACAGTCACTTCCAGGACTGCATGGTAAGTGTTAAAACAGGTTCTATGGAAGATAGAGGCAAGGAACGCCTGTAATCCCAGCACTTTGGGAGGCTGAGGCAGGCAGATCACTTGAGGTCAGGAGTTTGAGACCAGCCTGGCCAACATGGTGATACCCTGTCTCTACTAAAAATACAAAAATAGCCGGGCGCGGTGGTGCGCACCTGTAATCCCAGCTACTCAGGAGGCTGAAACAGGGGAATTGCTGGAACCTGGGAGACAGAGGTTGCAGTGAGCCAAGATTGCACCACTGCACTCCAGCGGGGGTGACAGTGAGACTCCGTCTCAAAAAGAAAAAAAAAAGAAACGAAAATAGAGACAAGGCAACCTTTGCCCAGTCTTTTAAGGGATCAGAGAGGCCTTCCTAAAAAGGGGATGTTTAATATGAGATCCCTAGGGAAAGAGGAGTTGGCTAGATGAAGGAGGTATGTGTCAGCATGGGAGAGCAATAATATCCCAAGATGTGAAAAGACTGGGGCCTAGCATTGGGGATGGAGAAGAGGGGAGGCTCTAGCTTACAAAACAGCTAAAACTGAAGAGTCAAACAGAAGCTTTATATGCTCTACTGATGGTTGGGAATTTTATTCTGAATACTACAGGATTTTTAAGCAAAGGAGTAACTTGCAAAAATTATTTTTTATAATTTTAATTTTGTTACTGATGGAAGTACTGATTTGAGAAGAGCAGAAATGGAGCTCAGGAGACCATTTAAATGACTCCACACCAAGGCAAATTAAATGACCTTACATCATTTCTGTCTTCTGGAACCAACTCTTTTAAGTCAAATGGACAAACTCATGTACCCCATATCAGGTAGATGATAAAGCCAGGTGTTCACACTCTAAACCCGCTTGAGATCATCACTGTGGGCTCAACTTCCATGATGGCTTTGCTATCCTTGCTCTAAATCCTGTGTCTGATTCTGGGAGTTGACCCCATATCCCTTTACAAACCCACTGTCCCTTCTAACCTTCTCTTAACCCTTCACCTCTTGCTATGAAAGTCAGTAAAATGACAACATCGCAATGAAGCCAAAATTATATTGCTTAAAGCCATAAAACTAAATAGAAACCAGGTTATCAAAATAGACTTTTCAACGAAGGTTATTGCTTCACTGGGCTTCACAAATGAAACCAGAAATACCTCTTATGGTCAGTCCAACTCACATATTACAAATACTGAAATGCCCTTTGTCTGCCAGGTGAACTTTTAATGATACCTTAAGACCCAAATCAAAGAATACCTATTTGGTAACACTTCTCTGAATGGCCCCCACCCCAAAAAGGTGAGACATTCACTCCTGTGTTCTTACAGTACTTTGTGCTTGCTTCTTAAATACATGGCTCCAAACCCTAGCTTTGCAACTGATTTTTGGGCAATGCTGATCATGTTTCTTCGCATCAGTAAAGCAGAGAGAAAAACAGAATTTACTTCCTAGTGTCAAATGAAATAATCACTAATGAATTCTTGCCTGGGTCCCCAGTACATGAAAATAACAGCTAGTGGTTGTGAAGAGCTTACTATGGTGTCATTTATAATTTCCCCCACTAAAACAGGAGCTCCTTTAGTGAAAGAGACTTAATTACCTATGAATCCTTACTATCTAACAAGCAGTCTGGCATGTAGAGGGAGCTCCATACATACTTGTGGAGGGCATGAATGAGTGGGTCTAAGCGGGATATCCGATGATCAGTGTCCACTGCCACAAATAAATTAAAGCCCTGGTTCTTGGCAGATTCCCGGTGATGAAGTGTCTGGGTTGGTTCACACAGCCACAGGTTGAGCTCCAGCTCAGCGAGCCTGCTGAGTCGTTTCTGCACACCGACTATCTCTGACTGCTCTTCATCCCAATCGCTGGCTTAATCACCTCTGCTGGCTTCTTTCCTGCGTCTTGGGGAGTGAAAAAGTTTCTGCTACTAAAAGAATGACTGCCTGTGATCCCATCCTTTCCATTTGGACAGTCTCCTATTATTGTCGATTCTCCCCTTGCTTTAACAAGTGGCTTCCGCTTCATCACAAAGCATTCTGTGCTTATATCTCTCTTTATCTCTGTGTGGAGTGGAGCAGAGCAGAGAGAGTTCCTCCCTGCCCACATTGTGCTGACACTGAAAGAGACACAATCATCAGGCGGGGAGGAAAGGTGGCTTTTGAATCAGAACAAATGCATCCCAGCTCAATTCTATGCTTCGTTTAATTAGGAATCAATTGGCTCTGGCCACCATGACTGAGTTCCTCTTTTCATAGGAAACCAGAACTCACTCACTCTCTTTACTTGTAGGAGAAGTGCAGAGACACAAGGAAGAACTGAGTGGAGTTTGGAATAAAAAGCAGCATCTTGCAGAAGGAGAATCAGAGTGACCAAAAATACATATAAACAAAGATGATATAATGAGGAAATTAATCCCAATCCCAAAAATGTATTAAACACCTGTTATTGATATGTGCTAGGAACTGTGCTAGAATCTGGGGGTGCACCTTTAAATAAGATTAGTTACTGCATTCAAGAAATTTGGTGAAATAAAAATCATATGATTATTGGGAGTAACTTACATTATTTAGCTTGAGAAGGGAAAGCAGAAGAGGTGCCATGAGGCTTGTCTCAAAATACATGATGGGGTGTAGAAGTGAGCTTCCTCCAAGCCCCTTAAAATCATCTACAAAACGCTACCCTATCTTGCAACATCATTGTAAATGGGAGTTTCATAGGGCTGTACCTGAAAGCACCTAAAATCACAGCACTCCTGAGAAACGGTAATGTATAAGTGCCTAACTTTGTCGCTGCCAGTGATCCTCCTCCTTCTACCCCCAAGCCAAAGAGAGAGATTCATGTGCTTGTATTAATAAAAAATAAATATTGGTATACCAGTATTTATAAATATTGGTATACCAGTATTTATAAAATACCAATAAATATTGATATTTTAAAATACCAATGCTTTTATTGGTAACATCCTAAGAACACGGGAAATGAAGACTAGGATACACAGCTTGATAGGAGCAGAACTAGAAGCTGATCATCTTTCACACGACCTCAGGAAGTGTGACTTCAGCTGTCATATGGGGGCTTTCCAGCCACAAAGTGTCATTGTCAAGAGTTGCAACCTTTTACTTCATCTCTTTAAATTCACACTTCATACCATTTGTCACACCCAATGGCTCAGAACCAACTCCAAGTTAGCACAGCCCCTCTACTTGAATGTTTGTGACTGTCTCTATTTCTGGGTCACCTGGCTTCACAGCTCTCTTCCTCACTGTCTTCCTCCTTCTGAATTAACAAACTGACTTCAGAGGCAAGGCGAGACTTGGCTTGGGACCCAGATGGCTGTGAGCACACATTTATTAGTCATAACTCTTAGAATTGCAAATTAATGAAGATTCAACTCAAAGTAACATAAGTAAAACAGGGGAATTGTTCAATCATGTAATGGAAAAAGGCTAGTAGGAGAGTTGGTTTTAAGCTTATCCCTCTCTATCTGTCCACCTGTCTATGGATCTCTATCTCTCTGCCTCTCTTTCTTTCCCCATGCCCTGGCTCCACTTTCATCTGTGTACATTTCATACTCAAACAGGAGCTCTCCATGTGGTCTCTGGAAGCTCCCGTCTTTCATCTTTAAACTATAAAAGCAGCACAAAGGACTGCCAACTTCCTTCCAATCTCCCCGGTAACAGTCAAAGTATTAGCTCTGATTGGATTAACTAGGGCATGTGCCCATTCCTGAAGAAAATGCTGTCGCACCAGGGATTGGATCAACTGATGGCCAGGCTGGTCATTCACACACCCCTGAGCTGAAGGTGTGTCACCTCTTGGTCCAAGAGAGGAGATGCTGTGCTTCCTAAATGAGTCTCCAGAAGCTGTTATTAGTGGGACTAATGAATGCTGAGAAGAGAAAGGAAAAAGCCAGAAATTTCCCCTGAGTTCCCACATTGGAACATGCCATCCTAGCTGAGCCTGTAGCTTTCAACTATTTGAGAGGGCAAGCAAGAAACAAAGGCACCTGAACCCAATTTTAGGTGTATAAGACTCGGTTTGTTTCCTGTAGCTCATCATCCTCTTATGTCTTCTGAAAGGAAAAACTGATAGAAAGTGAGGGTGAGAGAATACACAACAGCGGGAAGGACATCAGTTCTCCATCTTTTGTGAGATCAGTGACATCAGATGTTAATAGAGGCAAAATATGACAGATCCAGATGACAACTGCTGGCAGGACTGTGGGGCTGTTCTAGCAGGAAGCTCTCACTTCGTTTTCCTTTAGGACAAGCACACCGATGCAGAGCTGGACTATCTGCACAAACAAATAAGTTGTTTCTGAATTGTAAGTGCTATAAAGAGGATTATAATGAGGATTTGAACTTCAGAGTCTAGCTTAACTTTGGATATGAGAAAGAAACTAACCATCACCTTTTCAAACCTGAATTGTCTCTCTTTACTTCTCCAATCAATTACAAAGGTCATGGATATGGAGAAATTGGAACCCGGATGGTTTAGTTCATATGAAAATATATAAAATATATTTCCACAGCAGAAAGAAATCTTGTCAAAGCATTTTTGAGTGGATTTTTGTTGCTGTTGTTCTGTTTGGTTTGCTTTTTCATTTTATCTGCTGCTTCCCAATGTCCCATCACCTAAGGGTCACTTTATTGTACATTATTTCATCCATGGCTCTACTACTGGGATCTTCATATGGTGCATTTATGGAAACTCATAAATTTTTTGTTTTCATGGCACAAAGTGGAATTTCTAATAACAATAATGTTTTAAATACTATCAATCTCATCATTATCATTATCAATACCAAAAACTATAAAATAAAAACGTAGTACAAGTTTTTATACTAAGTTTAATAGCCATATTGATGAGTGTTTGCAACGCATCATGTTCCCTGTAAGCACTTTATCTGTATTGCCCAAAGTAAGTTTTACAGCAAAACTATGAAGCCAACACTTTTTTTTAATCATCACATTAAAAAACAAAAATTGATACTCAGAAGCCAATGCCTCAACCAGTAGAGGCAGCTAGTGTGTCCTCCCCAACCTGTTCCAGGTCCCTCTCAGCAAACACACATCTTCTGTTCCTTTCCTCTGCCTGCTGCGCTCTCTCCAGCATTTGCAACTGCTGCTCTGTATTCTTAATGCTCTGTCAGGAAAGCTATGTTTTCAGGGCATAATCTCCGTGGCCATAAGTGGTGACCTATCCCCATGTGGCTAACTTCCACCACCTGGCTAACTTCTACTCATGACCTTAGAATAAAAGTCGCCATCTCAGAGTGGCCACTTTCAACGTCCCCTCTTTTTTTTTTAAAACAGTTTCACTCTGTCGACCAGGCTGGAGTGCAATGGCATGATCACAGCTCACAGCAGTGTAGACTTCCCAGGCTCCAGCGATCCTCCCACCTCAGCCTCCAAAGTAGCTGGGACCACAAGCGCATGCACCACGCCTGGCTAAGTTTTGTATTTTTTTGGAGATGAGAGTTGCCGAGGCTGATCGCGAACTCTTGGGCTCAAGAGATCTACCTGCCTGAGCTTCCCAAAATGCTGGGATTTCAGGCGTGAGCCACCGTGCCTGACCAGCATTCCCTCCTCTTTGTAATGTACAGAGTGGGCAGAGATTATCCAGCACTTTCTTCCATGAGACTTGAAGTTTTGCTCGACTTTCACCTAGAGGTGTGTCCTCTGCATTCAGCTCAGTTTCAGTCATCTACTACATATTGCTGAATAGAAAAGTGACTATAGTCACTTCCCAGGTGGGTGGCAGGATGCCGGAGACCACTGTACTCTAAGCAGTTTCTCAGGACTTCCTCCATCTCCCATGGCCATTTTCCAATCCCTTTCTTTGCTAAGCTTTACCTCCTTGACTTGAAAACTATGGTTCTATCCCACATGTTATTTTCTTAAATACCTACAGGAGTATGGAAAAATAATAGAAATGTTTAAAGTCAACCGATCACAAATAGGAATATGTGAAGAATCTGACAAACTAGAGCATGCATGTCCTTTCTAATAGGGATATTTGTTGCCCTAAGGATTGAGAGCCCAATATTCACCAGAACTCCCAAATATTCAAGGGAAGTCAGAAATATTGAGTTTTAGTTTTATATGTAAAAATCTGTCACTATTTTAGTATCATGTACAAGATATATGACATGGCACAACTATTTAACCCCTCTTTGCCTCTATTTCCTCATCTGTAAAGTGGGAACAATGTTGGAACCTAACTCTCAAGGCTACTATGAGATATAAATTATTTGATATTTATGAAGAGTTTAAAGCAGTTCTTGGTGTATGGTAAGTGTGTACATACATATTTGAATATGTATCATCTAATGAATATGTAATATTCAATTTCATGTTAAATACATAATTGAACATTGAATTTATAATTTAATAACAACAAAAAAAAATACCTGTTTAAAGAAAGACACTGTGCAACCAAACGAAACATGTCTACAGGCCACTTGTGGCCTACAGGTTATCAGATTTGAAGTGCTGTTTATATTTTAACTTTTTAACATATATTTTATTGTAGAGACAGGGTCTAGCTATGTTGCCTAGGCTAATCCTCCCACCTTGGCCAGCTTATACTTTAACTGAAAGCTTCATCTTGAACCACCTCTGGATCTGGTCCACCTCCTGACTCTTTTCTCCTACATCGTTTCAAAAATAGCCCTTTCTCTGACCCTAGAGTCAACAATTTTCTTAAGTCATGGCTGCTCAGCTCACCCCTTAGTCTCAAGAATACCCAAGAGGGACAGTTTATAATAGCTGCTTTTTCCCCCTACCCATGGAGATGCAAACTTCACCCTAAAAAGCAAGCTCTGAGGCTTCCTAGGCCTCAGAGGGGTCTCTATCAACCGCAACCCACTTTTCCATCAATCTTATCTGTAATATTTTCGGATCGTGCCTGCCACCCTGAAGCCAGCTGCATTATCTGCAATCAGCAGCATGGTAGGGATGGAGGATAAGCTTGTTCTCAGCAAGCAAGTTGAGAACAGGGCTAAAAATAACCATTTTCAAATTAAATTCTTGAATTGGAAAGGAAAAGAGAGAGGATAAACAGGACACAGTATGGCAGGTTTTATTTATTTACACCAATGAATCAAAGATAAAGGAAGGAAAAAGGCGTTTTGAAGAATTTGGGCGTATGGCAGAATTGTTTCCATCTCTGGTAATGTTGTCAAAACACCAATGATGATGCAAAGCAAATGCCTGTCAGACAAACCCAAAGGAAGCTTATTTACACGTTTGGGATGAGCAGGGTTGTAAATGATGGTTTAATTGGGAAAATCTGCTTAGTCATTTGAACAAGCAGACCTAAAAACAGACATAACATAGTGCTGCAAGGAAAACAAATGTAAGAGAATTTCTCTTTCATTGCTTTACTCTAATGCATTTCCTGCTTTCCTCCTCCCTCTCTCTATTCCATTTTCATTTCCATTAGATAAAAAACTTCTCAGCATTTTCCAGGCTGCCCTTAACCTTTCTGACTTGCTTACTTGGGGCCTGTAGAAGACAAAGCACTCTTTCAATGACTGGAGACAGGCACTAGGCAGTACCCAATGCACGTAGACTGGCCTCTGGGGCTGAAAATGTAGCTTCCTAAAAACAAACAGTACAGAGGCTGATGGATTAGGGAAGGTGTATAGAACATTCAATTTGATGCCTAGCAAATAAAAAGCATTCAATAAATATTAGTTTCCTTACCTGCCACTCAATAGGGAACTGGCATTTATTATTAAAAAAATCACCTACTCACATCTATAATAAAATTTTTTGACTGGGAAGGATTATATCAGTACAGTAACCATGATTATTTCTGGGTAGGAAGTTATTGATACAGTTTCCTGCTTTATATTTTAATTTATGCTTTTCAAATTTTCTGCAAAGATTAGCCACGCATGGTGGTGGCAACCTCTAATCCCAGCTACTCGAGAGGCTGAGGCAGGAGAATTGCTTGAACCTGGGAGGGGGAGGCTGCAGTAGGCCGAGATCGCACCACTGCACTCCAGCCTGGGCAACAAGAGCGAAACTCCATCTCAAAAAAAAAAAAAAAATACTCTGCAATGACAAATTAGAAATAAAATGATTTTTAAATCAAAAATTCTGAATGCTATTTTATTAAATGTAAGTCATTTTCTAGCCTTATAATCACCTATTCCCATTCACTGACCTAACTGTCTAGTAAAAGGTAATTCATTAATGATCTTGAAAACTAAAGTTTTAGTTTTGTCAGTCTTTTCAAAACTGTCCAGAAACTGGCATTTTGCAAAGTTTTCAATGATGAGAGGTTGGCACTACTGCCAACCATAAACTAAATTTGACTTGAAGTGGTTGTAATCTCCCAAAACACACAAAAAAAATACAGAAATATATAAAAGGATTAGTAGGGCACGAACAATTTATTTCATCATTTCAGCCATTATTTCTAGGAAAGCCTTTTTGTTATCTGTAGCAGATATTTGTGATGAATTGTGCCATACATATCCCCTCTGCACACCTAATTTCAGTACTGATGTGGTGGGCAGCTCTGTGCCTCTTTGCCAATGTCCATGGTGTCCTACTGTATCGCTTTCTCAAAAGCTGGGAAAAGTAGCTTAGCCACATGTAGGTGCAACCCAGAAATGTGAGGGAGTCTATGCCCCTCAAGGTAATCCTCATCCAATGGGGGATAAAATCTATGGATAAATGTCCCAGCTTCCTTGTCCTCCCGTAGGACAATTCTAAGCAGTAACCAGCTCGTTAACACGTACTTTACAGTTGTTGTTGTTTTTTTCCCTTTCTTGTCTGTCTCTCTTTCCTTATTCTTGCACTTCCACTTTCTGTGATTGCCTCCAAAACAAACTCCCTGAATCTTAGTCAGTTTGGGGTGTTCTAACAGAATACCACAGACTGGTGACTTAGGCAGCAAACATTTAATTCCCACAAGTTCTAGAGGATAGAAGTTCAAGATGAGGGTGCCAGCATGGTTAGGTCTTTCTTGGAGGCCCTCTTCCTGGTTTACAGATGGCTGCCTTCTTGTTATATCCTCATTTGCCAGAAGGAGAGAGAGATATCATGTCTCTCTCTCTTTATAAGCTCATTAATCTCATCAAGTGGACCCCACCCTCATGACCTAATCTAACCCTAATTACCTCATAAAAGCCCCACCTTGGAATGCCATCACATTGAGGATTAGAGTTTCAACATATCAATGCTGGGGTTAAACACACATTCCACCCATAGCATCCTGCATCAAGTCCTCATCTCAGTGTCAACTTTAAGTGGTAGGAGGACATGTGGTTAAATCCAGACTAGAACATCGTAATTATACATTTCTAGGTTAAAAAGAGTCCTTATGTTGCTAATGACAATAGTGTCACTAATAACAACTGCAGCCTAAATTTTATTGATTAGAATTTGGTGACCAAATCAAACTGACTGTGTAAGCAACCTTATATAATGAGGCTGGAACAAAGTTCCTTGCTGTTTGGATGTTCTGTTTGCACACAGAGCTGTAACCAACACTGAGACAAAGTAAGCAAGTATTTTCATCAGCCAATGGGTAAAACCCACTCTTTTTCTTAACTTTCAGCCTGGAAGAACCAGAATCCTAGGAGCATGGAAGACTTAATTCATTCAACAGTAACCACCTCTTTTTAGCCTAAGACTTTGGCAGCCGAACAACAGAACAGGAATTATGTCAGCTTTTCTGCTTAGCATGAGCTCTGCCCCAGAACCAATGACATAAAATACGTATGTTTGCTTTCCCTGCCACAAAGTTGCGACACATTATCAAAGCTTTACAAAGTCACTCTATCTTAGGACACCCCTAGACAACTTGTTTCCATCTTACTTCTGGGACAAAAATATTTACTGTATCCTGCTTTCATTGTCTTTGTGAATATTACATTAAATGTTGACATGTGCTTGGCAATTCAAATTCATTGGTTAAATGTTTTTCTCCTCTCAAAATTATTTTTAATATAATAGTCTAATAAATATGAATCCAAGATTCCTTACTAAACATGTGACTTTGCCTTGTCCAACCTCAGTATTTTGTTCTATAAAACGCAAGTAACTAGGCAACTCCCATTTTAGGTTGTAAAAATTGCAAAAATTACAAAAATGTGTTCAGTGCAGTCCATGGCAAAAAAAAAAGAACTTCTAAATGTCACATATTATTATTAAAATCAGGTTCAATTACAATAACTGCACAATACAAAAATACAAAGTCAGTATTGCACTTAGACTCTGGAGACACTTTAAAAGACATATGAAGTCTTCTCATTCTAACTCTTTCATTTTGTATTCAATTTAACCTTCATTAAA
This sequence comes from Homo sapiens, assembly GCF_000001405.40. Taxonomy (NCBI): domain Eukaryota; kingdom Metazoa; phylum Chordata; class Mammalia; order Primates; family Hominidae; genus Homo; species Homo sapiens. Next base: position 58,847,416 of record NC_000016.10, on the reverse strand, counting down.
ATTGAGCTATAATGTAGGAAGAGATGAATTTCTCAAAAAAGCAAAAATGATGAAGATGTACATGTAGGAATTCACAATATAGAAAGGAAAGCAGAAACATACATAGATTTGATCAGGCACTAAACACTTACTGAATGCCAGCTTTGTACTAGAAAGCACTAGGTACTAGAGTCAAAAAGATGATTAAACTCTATATCCTCTAAGGGAAGCAGTTGTCCAATAAACAAATAAGAGCCCTATATTAATACGATAGATATTATGTTCAAGGTAACATGAGAAGACTTTAAAAGGAATAATGAGCTTTATTAAGAGGAGCTGGACTCTCCCTCCTCTCCCTCTCCCCCTCCCCCTCTCCCTCCTCTCCCTCTGCCTCTCCCTCCACGGTCTCCCTCTCATGCGGAGCCGAAGCTGGACTGTGCTGCTGCCATCTCGGCTCACTGCAACCTCCCTGCCTGATTCTCCTGCCTCAGCCTGCCGAGTGCCTGCGATTGCAGGCGTGCGCCGCCACACCTGACTGATTTTCGTATTTTTTTTGGTGGAGACGGGGTTTCGCTGTGTTGGCCGGGCTGGTCTCCAGCTCCTAACCGCGAGTGATCCGCCAGCCTCGGCCTCCCAAGGTGCCGGGATTGCAGACAGAGTCTCATTAACTCAGTGCTCAATGGTGCCCAGGCTGGAGTGCAGTGGCGTGATCTCGGCTCGCTACAACCTCCACCTCCCAGCCGCCTGCCTTGGCCCCCCAAAGCCCCGAAATTGCAGCCTCTGCCCGGCCGCCACCCCGTCTGGGAAGTGAGGAGCGTCTCTGCCTGGCTGCCCAGTCTGGAAAGTGAGGAGCCTCTCTGCCCGGCCACCATCCCACCTAGGAAGTGAGGAGCGCCTCTTCCTGGTCGCCATCCCATCTAGGAAGTGAGGAGCGTCTCTGCCCGGCTGCCCATCGTCTGAGATGTGGGGAGCGCCTCAGCCCCGCCGCCCCATCTGGGATGTGAGGAGCGCCTCGGCCCGGCCGCAACCCCGTCTGGGAGGTGAGGAGAGTCTCTGCCCGGCCGCCCCGTCTGAGAAGTGAGGAGACCCTCCGCCCGGCAGCCGCCCCGTCTGAGAAGTGAGGAGCCCCTCCGCCCGGCTGCCACCCCATCTGGGAAGTGAGGAGCGTCTCCGCCCGGCAGCCACCCCGTCCGGGAAGGAGGTGGGGGGTCAGCCTCCCGCCCGGCCAGCCGCCCGTCCGGGAGGGAGGTGGGGGGGTCAGCCCCCCACCCGGCCAGCTGCCCCGTCCGGGAGGGAGGTGGGGGGGTCAGCCCCCCGCCCGGCCAGCCGCCCCGTCCGGGAGGTGAGGGGCGCCTCTGCCTGGCCGCCCCTACTGGGAAGTGAGGAGCCCCTCTGCCCGGCCACCACCCCGTCTGGGAGGTGTACCCAACAGCTCATTGAAAACGGGCCATGATGACAGTGGCGGTTTTGTGGAATAGAAAAGGGGGAAAGGTGGGGAAAAGATTGAGAAATCGGATGGTTGCTGTGTCTGTGTAGAAAGAAGTAGACGTGGGAGACTTTTCATTTTGTTCTGTACTAAGAAAAATTCTTCTGCCTTGGGATCCTGTTGATCTGTGACCTTACCTCCAACCCTGTGCTCTCTGAAACATGTGCTGTGTCCACTCAGGGTTAAATGGATTAAGGGCGGTGCAAGATGTGCTTTGTTAAACAGATGCTTGAAAGCAGCATGCTCGTTAAGAGTCATCACCACTCCCTAATCTCAAGTACCCAGGGACACAAACACTCTGCCTAGGAAAACCAGAGACCTTTGTTCACTTGTTTATCTGCTGACCTTCCCTCCACTATTGTCCTATGACCCTGCCAAATCCCCCTCTGCGAGAAACACCCAAGAATGATCAATAAAAAAAAAAAAAAAAAAAAAAAGAGGAGTTGGAGGTAGAGACAAGTTAAGTAAAGCTTCTCAGTTATGACTGTTAAAGTGGTACATGAAGGATGAATAGGAGTTCATAAGTTAATCAAAGGGAAGAGAGGGTTCTAGGGCACAGCATAAACAATAGCAAGGAAAAGTATAGCATCTTCAGGGAACTCCAAGTAAATTAGATTAGAGCCAGAAGAAATGGGTAAAATAAGGAGGAGAAATGAGAAAAAAAAACACAATTCTCATAAATGTTAGGTTGCAATTTTTTGAAATGACCATAATGGAGTTATAAGCAAACTTGAATAAAATATTAATGTCACATAAGGATAGATCACTTGTTCATTTTTACCTAGTTTGTGGCAAAACTAAACCTAGAAGCTGTCTCCCAACTCCAAGTGTGGTGCTCTATCCTCCAGACCAGTGGTTCATAAACAAGGGTCCCAGGACTAACAGTTTCAGCACTACCCAGGAGATTATTAGAAATACACATTCTCAGACTTCGTTCCAGAACTACTGAGCGAGAAACTCTGAGGATACAGCCCAGAAATGTGGGCCTTTAAAAGCCCTCCACCTGATTCTGAATTACACTAAAATTTGAGAATTGCTGCTCTCGACCATGTTGTGATTTTCACATTCCCAAGGAATTTTCACGAAGGAAACTAAAGGAAAAGCAAAGATTGCCTCTTTTTTTGGTCAATTGAGAAAACAGCCTTATGTTCATAATAAAACTCTATCAATCAAGGACTTTGTGAAAATGGTATGAAAACGTTCTGCTTGAGGGAGTCCTTTGATGGCCAATACCCTAGCAGTCACAACAGGTTCAGGTGGCTGGAAAAATCAGTTACAGATGTCTTTTAGGTGCGAGCTATGTGAAGACCCAAGAACAGGTGCCCACCAGTGTACCTGCTGGAAGGAGTAAGGAGAGAGAAAGAAAATTATAAGAAATGGAAGAAGATGGTCACCTCTTTTCCCTAGAGTTTACTAAATTTATACTTCAAGAACTCAAGTAAGTCAATTCTCAACTTTGCAACATTTTAGAGTTTAGGGGAATGTGAACAAAAGTCTATTGGGTCATTTTTACCGTCACTCACCCCTGTGTTCTCAGTGCCTGGCTCAGTTTCTTGAATATAGTATGTATTTAATAAAAGATTGTTAACTATATAGATGACATAATTAGTACACAGAATAAACTAATGTTTTGAGTGTATGTCTACAGACGACTAACCAAAAAAGTTAAAAATAGACTGAAAACAAAAATTAAAGCTGATTTTATATAACTGAACATAAAATGTTTGAAGAAATGCAGTCTGAACACAAAGGTTATCGCATTGATTTTTCTGAAATTAGAATCATTCTGCATCCAATCAACCTGCCTCTCTGTTGCTGACATCCACCATTGAAGAGATGAAGAAAAATCTCATTTGTGCCAGTATCTGGCAAACTAGCACAAGTTAATTAGTCAATTAAACTATCAGTGTAATAGGGAATGTTACAAACTAACATTAGCAGGTTAAGAGAGGCGAGCTGTATAATTCATAAAGAGAAATACAAGTCCACAACAGGAATTCAGATGTAGCTTAAATAAAGATGAATCGTGGCAAAACTGAATTAAAGACAGGGTCTGAGTGACCTCTAGTGTTACTGAGAAGAATATTAAGAAAGTAAAAGAAAATAGCCCATGATTCTGAATCCTAAGTGTGTGTGTGTGTGTGTGTGTGTGTGTGTATGTGTGTGTGTGTTGTATAAGCTTCATTGCAACATAGTTATCATTTCATCCATTTAAAAGTCAACTAAGAAACAACATGTAGAATTTCACATTTCAGTCTTCATCACTGAAACTCTCTGTTCTGACTTACCGACTTAGTATTAAAATGTCTTCTTTTGTATATATACAAAAGTTTGAGATCTCAGCCTTACTACTCAAATGCCTTTGGGAAAAACAGTCTTGTATTAAATGTTAAATAACACAAGGTTTCCCAGATGATATTGGGAAAAGGTCAAGGGAATACAGAGAAGCAATAAAGTCATTCCAATTTTAATGTTCAGAGAGAATGCTTACATTCAGTTGCTTCACCTTCTAATGTATGCATTGATTTTTCTAAAAGCACAAGCTCTGATCACCTTCAATCAAGATTCTTCAAAACCCTCTGATTACCTACCAAATTAAGAACCCATTCTTAGGTGGATTATTCAAGGGCTTCCATGAAATGATCCCCATGACCTTCATTTCCTCTGAAGAAGGCACTGCTGTATGTCACCACACCAGTATCATTCCTGCACATGCAGACTTCTCACATACTAATGTCTTTTTTAACTTCTAGAATTCCACAAACCTTTGTGTAAAGATAGTCCCAAATCTTGGAAGGGCTTGCAGCTTATTTTTAATAATGTCCTGATTTCAACTCCTATTTCTATCACCTGCTAAATGTGTAATTTTTTAAAAATTGCTTAGCCTAACTTAACTCAGTTTGATCATCCCTGATACAAGGATCATGAATATATTACCCCCACTACCACTGCATAACAGAAAGTAAAGAAGGGTAGAATGAAATCAAGGTCAAATACCATCTCTGTCATTGATTAACTTTGGCATTCTGAAGAAGACTGTCACTGTCTTAGTTCCAGTTTCCTGTCTATAAAACAGGTACAATTATAACCAACTTTATAATATTAACATGAGGATTAAAAGCAGATGGCTTATATGAAAAAGAACCCAGTGTACCCTAGGCACTCAATAAGTACTTAACTCTGCACACTCTGGGACCAGTGCTTCTGCCCAACTCTTCCATTTGGGGTAGGGGCATGGATGTTGGGTGAGGCCATCAAGCTTTCTAGCTGAAGTTTCTGCTTATCCTAGACCTCCTTTTCCTATTGCAAACGTAGGTCAAAGATTCAAGAAGATGTTAATAGCACATCTAAGGCATGGTTACTATGGGCCACCTGATCATCACATTTAGTTTTCACCTACAGTCTTGACCTCTTGTGTCTTCTGCTATAACTTACAGGATGGCTCATTCAGCTCTAAGCTATATGCAGTAAAATTATTTTAGCCATAGTCTTGGTCTAAGCCAGGCTCAGGGTGAAAAGTTAAAACAAAGCTTTATTGTATGGTTCCACTAATATGAGATGCCTAGAGTTGTCAAACTCATAGAAACAGAAACTAGAGTGGTGGTTTCCAGGAGTGGAAAGTGGAAAGTTGTTTAATGGGTATACAGTTGCAGTTTTGTAAGATGAAGGTTCTGGAGACCAGTTGCACAACAATGTGAATATATGTAACACTACTGAACTATACACTTAAAAGTGGTTAAGACTGGCCGGGCTCTGCAGCTCATGCCTATAATCCCAGCACTTTGGGAGGTTGAGGCGGGAGGATGACTTGAGCCCAGGAATTCGGGACCAGCCTGGGCAATATAGCAAGACCCCATCTCTAAAAAATTAAAAATTAAAAATGTTTTAAATGGTCAAAAAATGTTTTAATTGGTACCAAAACAGAGATATAGACCAATGGAACAGAACAGAACCCTCAGAAATAATATCACACATCTGCAACCATCTGATCTTTGACAAACCTGACAAAAACAAGCAATGGGGAAAGGATTCCCTATTTAATAAATGGTGCTGGGAAAACTGGCTAGCCATATGTAGAAAGCTGAAACTGGATCCCTTCCTTACACCTTATACAAAAATTAATTCAAGATGGATTAAAGACTTAAATGTTAGACCTAAAACCATAAAAACCCTAGAAGAAAACCTAGCCATTACCATTCAGGACATAGGCATGGGCAAGGACTTCATGTCTTAAAACACCAAAAGCAATGGCAACAAAAGCCAAAATTGACAAGTGGGATCTAATTAAACTAAAGAGCTTCTGCACAGCAAAAGAAACTACCATCAGAGTGAACAGGAAACCTACAGAATGGGAGAAAATTTTTGCAATCTACTCATCTGACAAAGGGCTAATATCCAGCATCTACAATGAACTCAAACAAATTTACAAGAAAAAAACAAACAACCCCATCAAAAAGTGGGCGAAAAATATGAACAGACGTTTCTGAAAAGAAGACATTTATGCAGCCAAAAGACACATGAAAAAATGCTCATCATCACTGGCCATCAGAGAAATGCAAATCAAAACCACAATGACATACCATCTCACACCAGTTAGAATGGCAATCATTAAAAAGTCAGGAAACAACAGGTGCTGGAGAGGATGTGGAGAAATAGGAACACTTTTACACTGTTGGTGGGACTGGAAACTAGTTCAACCATTGTGGAAGTCAATGTGGCGATTCCTCAGGGATCTAGAACTAGAAATACCATTTGACCCAGCCATCCCATTACTAGGTATATACCCAAAGGATTATAAATCATGCTGCTATAAAGACACATGCACAAATATGTTTATTGTGGCACTATTCACAATAGCAAAGACTTGGAACCAACCAAAATGTCCAACAATGATAGACTGGATTAAGAAAATGTGGCACATATACACCATGGAATACTATGCAGCCGTAAAAAATGATTTGAGTTCATGTCCTTTGGAGGGACATGGATGAAGCTGGAAACCATCATTCTGAGCAAACTATCACAAGGACAAAAAACCAAAGACCGCATGTTCTCATTCACAGGTGGGAATTGAACAATGAGAACACATAGACACAGGAAGGGGAACATCACACTCTGGGGACTGTTGTGGGGTGGGGGTAGGGTGGAGGGACAGCATTAGGAGATATACCTAATATTAAATGACAAGTTAGTGGGTGCAGCACACCAACATGGCACATGTATACATATGTAACAAACCTGCACGTTGTACACATGTACCCCAAAACTTAAAGTATAATAAAAAAAAATTATGAGATGAAATTCATTATCCCTTAAACACAACTTCTTTAGGCATCTCCATGACAGGTCACATAACACACAGTGAGCTTGCATGCAAGCATACCAACACACACAGAATAGGAAGGGTAGTTTGTTTGCTTTGTTTGTTTCTGTTTGTTTTGAGACAGAGTCTCCCTCTGTCGCCCAGGCTGGAGTGCAGTGGTGCAATCTCGGCTCACTACAAGCTCTGCCTCCCGGATTCAAGCGATTCTCATGCCTCAGCCTCCTGAGTAGCTGGGATTACAAGCATGCACCACCATGCTCAGCTAATTGTTTGTGTTTTTAGTAGTGATGAGGTTTTGCTATGTTGGCCAGGCTTGTCTCAAACTCCTGGCCTCAAGTGATCCACCCACATCAGCCTCCAAAAGTGCTGGGATTACAGGCCTAAGCCACTGTGCCCAGCCTCTTTATTTTTAACATAAACAGAATTACGACATGAGGTAGGATAGTTTTTGTCTAATAACATAATTTTTCTAACTGGCCCCACACCAATATCACAAATTCTACATTATTTTGACCCCATGTTCAGGATGGGAAAGAGTACACCTCCTTGAATGCCACCTAACATATAAGAAAAGGTTTTGATTCTAACTCATTTGGCTAAAAGTAAAAGGAATAAAGGGATCCACATTCATCTTCCACCTAGAGCAACTTGGGCAGAACCTGGGATAAGGCCCCAGTATAAATAGCTTTGAATTCCTTTCAATTATTACCAGGATTTTGTATGATCCTTAAAATGATTTCTCAACAACAGTTAGCAGCAATTCCTGATACTCCTGAAAACTTAGAGCAAAGGAAGGAGTCCCAAAGCCACCTCCAGACCTGTGGCCCTTCCTGCTGAATATGCTGGGGGGAAAAAAAGGAGAAAAAGCTAAAAGTCTGCACTGCTGCTTTCTCAGATTGGAAATTCCAAATTACTTTTTTTTTTTTTTTTTAATTTTTTTTTTTTTATTATACTCTAAGTTTTAGGGTACATGTGCACATTGTGCAGGTTAGTTACATATGTATACATGTGCCATGCTGGTGCGCTGCACCCACTAACGTGTCATCTAGCATTAGGTATATCTCCCAATGCTATCCCTCCCCCCTCCCCCGACCCCACCACAGTCCCCAGAGTGTGATATTCCCCTTCCTGTGTCCATGTGATCTCATTGTTCAATTCCCACCTATGAGTGAGAATATGCGGTGTTTGGTTTTTTGTTCTTGCGATAGTTTACTGAGAATGATGGTTTCCAATTTCATCCATGTCCCTACAAAGGACATGAACTCATCATTTTTTATGGCTGCATAGTATTCCATGGTGTATATGTGCCACATTTTCTTAATCCAGTCTATCATTGTTGGACGTTTGGGTTGGTTCCAAGTCTTTGCTATTGTGAATAGTGCCGCAATAAACATACGTGTGCATGTGTCTTTATAGCAGCATGACAAAAGCCAAAATTGACAAATGGGATCTAATTAAACTAAAGAGCTTCTGCACAGCAAAAGAAACTACCATCAGAGTGAACAGGCAACCTACAACATGGGAGAAAATTTTCGCAACCTACTCATCTGACAAAGGGCTAATATCCAGAATCTACAATGAACTCAAACAAATTTACAAGAAAAAAACAAACAACCCCATCAAAAAGTGGGCGAAGGACATGAACAGACACTTCTCAAAAGAAGACATTTATGCAGCCAAATTACTTTTAAAGCCTCCTCATGAATGTGTGCCTCTAATAGCCTAACCCCTATTATTGGCCTGATATACAGAATCCTTAGAGCTTGATGAAAAAGGATAAAACTCAGGAGTTTCAGGTGTAAGTGAACTGAAACAACGCGGCCCATTTATTCTCAGATCCTTGTCCTTCTCAAGTCAGTTTTCCCTATGATGGTATCTCGGTACTTCTGGGCAGATTCTAGCAATCTTAGGTGTTCTCTTGCTCATGCTCACATTTTATTTAAGTTAGTTGTTTTAACTTTTTATTGACGTATAACATACACACAGAAAAGTGCACAAATTCTAATTGTACAAATTGATAAACTTGTCACAAAGTAAACATTTCTGCATAGACAGCACCCAATCAAAGAACACGGTATTGCCACAGTCCCCAAAGTCCCCTTATGCCTTGAACAAATTACCCAGGCAAGGGTAACTGGTATACCAATCAGAGTGACTTCTAACACCATGCATTCATTTTGCTTCTCTTCTTTTTCAGAACTTTATAGAAACACAATCACACAGAGTGATCCCTAAATTCATGAGATTCATCTATACTGTTCTGACTATAGTTTGTTCACTCTCATTGCTGTACAGTGTGACTATATCAAGATTTGTCTATCTGGTTGTAAATGCAGGTCTCCATATAGCCATTAGCCCATCATATTTGGGTCTGTGAATGCAAATCAAATCATTGTGCCCTAAGTTTCTAGCAATCTTCTAATGATGCTCGGACAGTAGCCCCACGAATTCCTTGCCATCCCCTGTCCATGCCAGTGATTCCCAAACTCCGACTCTTAGGTCCAACCAACCACTGCCCCATGTAAGAACCAGGAAGTCCTTTTGCCAGAGAACAATACAACCTTTCTATGTTTGTAGAGATTCTGTTATTGCCTTACAGATTATTTTTGAAATTTCTATATTCTATCTGGTTTAGTTCCAGTCAATAAGTTTTATTAGAGTTCTATCTCAGTGCCAAGCACTGTGCTGCTTGCTGGGCTATGAAATAAAGGAAGGTATAGTCCCACAATTGGGGGAGCTTAGACGCTGTTAGAAATAAACATGAGGCCGAGCTTGGACTCTGTTAAAAATAAACATGAGGCCGGGTGCGGCGGCTCACGCCTGTAATGTCAGCACTTTGGGAGGCCGAGGTGGGTGGGTCACCTGAGGTCAGGAGTTCGAGACCAGCCTGGCCAACATGGTGAAACCCCATCTCTGCTAAAAATACAAAAATTAGCCAGGTGTAGTGGCGCATGCCTGTAGTCCCAGCTACTCAGGAGGCCAAGGCAGGAGAATTGCTTGAACCTGAGAGCTGGAGATTGCAGTGAGCTGAGATTGCACCACTGCACTCCAGCCGGGGCGACAGAGCAAGAGTCTGTCTCAAAAAAAAAAAAAAAGAAAGAAAAGAAAAGAAATAAACATGATATTGCTTATGTGCCCCCCTCCACCAAAGTATATGTGCTGCCCAAATCTCTCATCAATGTAGTTCTAACTCCAGGGAAGAGTAAGCACATAGCCCCAGGGCTGAGGGAGAATCAGGAAGTCTTAAGTAATCGCTTAATGAATGCCATTTAAGTATTGTATATCAGTAAAGGTTAGCTTAATAATATAATCATGCCTACTTTAATATTAAAAACATTTCCCTTCATTATTGTCAGTTAAAACAGACACTTCCTGACAATGTGTCCTGTTTAACACCTGAAATTTAGTACCCCTATGAATCACCAATATTTTAAACCACTACAGACATCACCACAGAAGTCTGAAAAGGACGAATCTAAACAACCTGTAAAAATTTACCACATAATAAAAGGAGAAGAGGCACCTCAATCAATCTTGTACATGAGCCACAAAAACCTGGCCATACTGTGTTTTCACATATACTAATTGACCTATTTTCCCAGAAAATAAATAATTCTTCAGATATTTTATTCATTTTAAACAACCATGCATATCATAGTATCTGAGGCTTTAAATCACAAATCTCCCTAAAACACAACCTGAAATTCTAGTGTCATTCATATATTTAATAACCAAAAAAGTAATACTTATGATTTTCCTAACTGCTTGAAAGTAGAAAATGACTCCTGGGAAGGCAGAGAAGCCAATTTGCTATGAGCAGCTTTCATTTCCTACTCTTAATTCAAACCTGCATAAAATTGTTTGAAGTCTTGGCACCAGTAGTGGCATTCCAATGTAGCTCATAGGAAGACCTTTTAGGAGGGACATTTAGATGTAAAATACAGTCTGCATATCAACCGAAACAGTCTGCGGACTTCGAGTCCTTAAAACAGACATCTTTCTAACCACAAAGAAGGAAATACATGAGAGTGGCACAGATGATCATAACTAAAGGTGAGATTCCTTCGCGTACTCTTATTTGGGCTTTTTTGCTGTGTCTTTCTGTGAAAAGAGAAACATTATCTCTTTTTACTCGTTCATATGCACATCCTCTAAGTCAGGGGAAGCCCAAGGGTATGTACAAAGGGGAAACCTCAGGATGTAGGTAAGAATTAAAGCCTTGAAGTCAAATGTTATCATCTAGGCTAAAGAAGAAAAGAAAAGATGCATGAGGTCTGAGCGCTAGTCTGATCCAATATCAACGTAGGGAAGAGGAGGACAGGCTGAAAGTGAACTTTAGAAGAAGCAGCCTATGGTGTAGGAGGAAAAACAGGAGAGTGGGGTGTCTTAAAAACAAATAACCCAATCAAAAAGTGGGCAAAGTACATGAATAGACACTGCTCAAAAGAAGGTGAAAAATGCTCATCATCAGTAATCATCAGAGAAATGCAAACCGAAACCACAATGCCATACTATCTCACACCAGTCAGAATGGCTTTTATTAAAAAGTCAAAAAAAAAAACAGATGTTGGTGAGGCTGTAGAGAAGAGGGAACATTTATACACTGTTGGGAGGAATATAAATTAGTCTAACCACTGTGGAGAGCAGTTTGCAGAATCCCAAAGAATTAAGAGTTGAACTACCACCTGACCTAGCAATCTCATTACTGGGTATATACCCAAAAAACAGCTAATCATTCCATCAAAAAGACACATGCACCCATATGTTCATTGCAGCACTATTCACAATGGCAAAGACATGGAACCAACCCAGATGTCCATCAACAGTGGACTGGAGAAAGAAAATGTGGTACATATACAACATGAAATACTACACAGCCATAAAAAGGAATAAAGTCAGTCGTGTTTTTTGCAGCAATGTGGACGGAGCTGGGAGGCATTATCCTAAGTGAAGTAATGCAGAAAGAGAAAACCAAATACCACATGTTCTCACTTATAAGTGGGAGCTAAATAATGGGTCCTCAGGGACCCAAAGATGGCAACAATAGACACTGGGGCCTACTAGAAGGAGGAGAGGGGGAGCAAGGCAAGGGCTGAAAAACTACCTGGCCGGGCACGGTGACTCACACCTGTAATCTCAACACTTTTGGAGGCCGAGGCAGGTGGATCACGAGGTCAGGAGATTGAGACCATCCTGGTTAACACGGTGAAACCCCGTCTCTTCTACAAATACAAAAAAAAATTAGCTGGGCATGGTGGCGGGCGCCTGTAGTCCCAGCTACTCGGCAAGCTAAGCCAGGAGAATGGTGTTAACCCAGGAGTCGGAGCTTGCAGTGAGCCGAGATCACGCCACTGCACTCCAGCCTGGGCAACAGAGCAAGACTCCTCCTCAAAAAAAAAAAAAAAAAAAAAAAAAACTACCTATTGGGTACTATGCTCACTACCTGGGTGATAGATTCATTCACACCCAAAACCTCAGCATCATGCATTTTACCTTTGTAGCAAACCTGCACATGTACCCTCTGATTCTAAAACAAATGTTGGAAAAAAATTACGTTGGGGGAAAGAAATGTTTCAACCAGGAAGGGATAATCAACCATTCCAAAAGCTGCTCAAAGGCTAAACAAGATGAATTTTAAGAAGTGGCCAATGACAGCAGCAAGAGAAAGGCACAGACAAGCATGACAAATGAAGTTTCTAGAGGTAGGGAGGGCAGAAATGGAGGAAAGGAAGTACAGCGAAAATATATAAATACAGGATACAGATACTTTTCAGAAATTTGCAATAAAGAAAAATACACAAGTTGATAGTATCTGAAGCAGAACTTTTTTTTTTTTTTTTTTTTTTTTTTTTTTTTTTTTTGAGACAGGGTCTTGCTCTGTCATGCAGGCTGGAATGCAGTGGCATGATCATAGCTCACTGCAACTTCAATCTCCCGGGCTCAATGTATCCTCCACCTCAGCCTCCTGAGTAACTGAGACTACAGGTGCATGTCACCATGCCTGGCTAATTTTGGTATTTTTTGTAGAGATGGGGTTTTGCCATGTTGCCCAGGCCGGCCTCTAACTCCAGGGTTCAAGCAATCCTCCTGCCTTGACCTCCCAATGTGCTGAGACTACAAGCCTGAGTCACCGTGCCCAGCCAGGACTTTTAAAAGGTGAAATATATGAGGTCATGTGTTTATACTGATGAGATAAATCTGGCAAGAAGAGGAAAATGGGTGATTCAGAAGAGAAAGGAGTGAATGCAGGCTTGAAGTTCTCAAGCAGATGACAGACAGGTATGAGGTCTAGTATCCGAGGTGTGTGAGGAGGGGAACAGATAAAGGCTGGACATTTCCTCCTCTATGAAAGAGGGATCGGCAGAAGATGTAGGCATTTGGGAGATTTATCACCGGGAAGCTGGATTAATTTTCTTCTGATTACTTCTGTTTGTTTCAGTGAAATAAACAGGGAGGCGATAAGCTAGGAAAAGAGGAAGGGGGTATTGAAATTTTGAGGAAAAAAAGGGATAGTTTTTTTTATAATTCTGATAACTTGTGGTGTTTTCCTCATGGAGCCCCAGCTAGTAGGAAAAAGACACCCAAAAATTCTCTCACAGTTGCACAACAACAATAGAGAAGAGGCCAGGTGAAGAAAAATAACAGCTGTTGGGAGAGAGTAAACAAGAGGACCCTACTTTACCTGGGAGTGTAGCTGAGGTGCAGAGAAGTAATGGAGGGCCTCTCAGATTCTGAGACCTAAAATCTGAGTTGGCATGTTCCAGAAAAGCATGCAGGGAAGAGTAGAAGAACTTGGCAAGTTAAAAAGACTGAGGCCAGGCACAGTGGTTCACACCTATAATCCCAGCATGTTGGGAGGCTGAGGTGGGAGGATCACTTGAGTCTAGGAGTTCGAAACAAGCCTGGACAACAGAGCAAGACCCCAGTTCTACAGAAAGAAAAAGAAAAAATCAGCCAGGTGTGATAGTGTGTGCCTGTGGCCCCAGCTGCTCTGGAGGCTGAGGCCAGAGGATCGCTTGAACCCAGGATGAGGTCAAGGCTGCAGTAAGCTGTAATGGCACCACTGCACTCCAGCCTGGATGACAGAGAGAGACCCTGTTTCAAAAAAAATACTGAGAGAAGCCCATTGTGGATAGAATACAATGAGTTGACGGGGCATGAAGTGAGTCTGTAGAAACAGATGGAGGCCAGACCATGGGGGTCCTTCTGCGTCAGGCTGGGGATTGGTGTTTTTGTTTCAATGGTGTGAAGAAGCTCTTGAAGGCTTTTTAGCAATGTTCACAGCAAAAATAATCAAAAGTGCCTATGACACCATTCTATCTGGCTGCAGTGTAGAAAATGATGCAGAAGTGAAAATAGTATAATTGGGGGAAACAGGCCATTGAGGTAGAGGAAATGACAGTGTCTTAAACCAAGGGGATGATAGTGAGATGGAGAAATATTTCAGAACTAGAAATGACAGGACCTGTCATTAGATTACAGGCAAGGAGTTAAGGAAAAGAGAGATGTCAAAGATGAATTATTAACAGTATGACATTGAGGTGGTGGGGTGGATATATCACTGGAAAAAAAAAAGGGGGCAATTTGAGGAAGAAGCAAAACAGATTCCAGTGGATCAGGCTGAGCAAGAGGCCATCTAACATTGGCCCTGGTGAATTTGAAATGCCGGCATCACATTTACCCTCACACCAAGCCCCAGCCCCTTGTATCAAAGCAATGTGAATCTGGGGTGGGGGAAAAAGCTGGAGACATTAGCACTTGCCTGTGGGACTAAAGGGTTCTATATTCAGAGATGTTTTACTTCAGTCAAAATACAAACAAAGAGAAATGGTAATTATCCAAGCCAGAACCTAAAGAATTCAAGCTAAGTAATGACTCACAGCACTAGAACCAATTAAACACTGAGATCTGAAAGACAGTATGGTAGCATCGCTCATAAAATGCAAACACTCTATCATTCATGGAATTTGGCCCCACTACAAGGAGAAAACAATCAAATAAAGGAAGTCTTCATGAACTATGTGTTGACTTCCTTCTTAACAATTTGACAGACAAGATACAAAAAGCTTCCTTTTGGAGCGGACTCCATTCTAAGAACAGTAACCAACAATCTGGCTGACTGGCTAAAACTATCAGTTAAGAAAACAAGTGAGTTTTCCATCCCATTCTCAGCATTCCCCTCTTATGTTTTCCCCTTCACATATATTTTGAGATAGAATAAGAACCCCATCTAGAGTTTAGCATAGGAAATTGTTCAAGTAGAAAACTATACGAAAATAACTCCACTGGAGAGAAATGGTTGAAAAACAGTACTAGGATACATGATTTCTAGATGTATTGTTGATCCAATGTGGTATGGTAAAAATAGACCTTACTGATAAATTAATACTTATGTATGTGGATATAGATGTAGATATTTGGGCAGAGCTTTGTAAAAATATTAACATTTAAGAAATTAACAGCATGTGACCAGGCATGGTGGCTCACACCTGTAATTCCCAGCACTTTGGGAGGCCAAGGCGGGTGGATCACTTGAGGCCAGGAATTCAAGACCAGCCTGACCAACATGGCAAAACCTGTCTCTACTAAAAATACAAAAATTAGCCTAGTGTGGTGGCACACGCCTGTAATCCCAGCTACTCGGGAGGCTGAGGCATGAGAATCGCTTAAATCCAGGAGGCAGAGGTTGCACTGAGCTGAGTTCACACCACTGCACTCCAGCCTGGGTGACAGAGTGAGACTCCGTCTCGAAAAGGAAGGAGGGAAGGAGGGAAGGAGGGAAGGAGGGAAGGAGGGAAGGAGGGAAGGAGGGAAGGAGGGAAGGAGGGAAGGAGGGAAGGAGGGAGGGAAAGAAATTAACATTAGGAAATTAACAGAATGTATCTCACTTCTTAATATTCTTAGCACATTAAGACACACAGTGCCTTTTTTACATAGCTGTCCTACTCGGAAACATTTTAAAACTTTAAAAGTACATCTGCTAACGTCTTCATAAAGAACAGTGTGTTCAGTCTGTTCTTTGAAATGAAGTGTCAACCATCACTGCAATTCTTAGAACGGAAATGTTAAGAGTCTGTGGTGACAAGAATGGGCTCATTGTAGGCTGCTGATAGTACAGATTCCTACAAATGTCTCCATGTACTTCTGAGCCATGTAAATGATCCAATGCCTAATGGATCATGAAGAGCATTTTGAAGCCCCCTTGTCCCTGAACATCATTGACTCTCAAGACCTCGTCAAAAACCACCAGTGGTTGCCGCATTGGTATCTCCCCAAGTGCCCCTTCCCCAAAGCAACCTTCAAATGCATTTGAAGGCTCTCAAAAGCTGGCAGCAAAATTCAAGGGGAATTCAACAGTGTACATCTGAACTTTAAAAAAACAGTTAAACCTGAGATAATATTTGAGAAATTGATGTTTCACAGTGGGAAGAGTAAGCTATTACTACATAGGAGTTTCATTTTTATCCAATTGGAATGAAATAATAGCCAATAACACTCAGAACACTTGCTGAGTGTCAGACTGTAACAAATTATTTGCATTTGTATGTCATTTACCTTTCACAAGTTTCCTGTAAGTACCATTATCATTCCCATTTTATGGACGATGTCCTCTGAGATTCCAAGAGACATTCTGAAGAGATATTCCTCATTTAGTAAGTGGCAAAATGGTGATTCAAACTCAGGTTTCTCTGATTCCAGGAGGTGAGCTTGTGAGCACCTTCCAAGGGTCCCATATGCCATTATATGGAATTCTACAAACTCTGAAAAGTTTCCAAAAATTCAGTGGAAATCATATATTTACTCGTGAAGAAACTCCCAAAAAAGGAAGTTTGGGGTTGACAAAATTAGATTCAGATCCCAACTCTGACATTTGTGGTCTATGCAACCTCAGGCAAGTTTATTCAACACCTCAGTGTGGTGATGAGAAACTCAATGAGGTGAATGTTATCATCTCTATTTTACGGATGAACATGCTGGTTCAAAGTAACCTTGGGTGTGACTATAGACAAGATTGTTGACGCCTTTATTTGAAAACGCTACAAAAAAATAAAAAAGTGGTGCTGAATTTCACTCAGTCTAACCCAGATCACAGGATTGAATAAACCAGACTTTGGGGACTACACAGTAGTCCCCCTGTATTCATCTGTTTTCACACTGCTATTAAAAAATACCTGAGACTGGGTAATTTATAAGGCAAAGAGGTGTAATTAACTCACCGTTCTATGTGACTGGGGAGGCCTCAGGAAACTTACAACAATCATGGTAGAAGTAGAAGAGGAAGCAGGTACCTTCTTCACAAGGTGGCAGGAGAGAGAGAGAGAGAGAGAGAGAGAGAGAGAGAGAGAGAGAGAGAGAGAGAGAGAGAAGGGGGAAGCACCAGACAACCATCAAACAATCAGATCTCGTGGGAACTCACTATCATGAGAACAGCAAGTAGGAAATCTGCCCCCATGATCCAATCACCTCCCACCAGGTCCCTTCCCTCAACACTTGGGGATTACAATTCGAGATGAGATTTAGGTGGGGACACAGAGCTAGATCATATCACTCCCTTTATCCATGGGGGATGCATTTTAACATGCATAGTAGATGCCTGAAACCATACATAGTACTAAACCTTATACACTGTATATACTATGTTTTTTTCCTATACACACATACCCATGGTAAAAATTATAAATTATACAATAATAATAATAAAATAGAACAATTATAACAATATACGGTATTAAATGTTTTGTAGGCCAGGCTTGGTGGCTCATGCCTATAATCCCAGCACTTTGGGAGGCTGAGGCAGATGGATCACTTGAGGCCAGGAGTTTGAGACCAGCCTAAGCAACATAATAAAATCCCATCTCTACTAAAAATACAAAAATTAGCCTGACATGGTGGCACATGCCTGTAATCCCAGCTACGTGGGAGGCTGAGGCACATGAATCGCTTGAACCCAGGAGGCGGAGGGTTGCAGTGAGCTGAGGTCACACCACTGCACTTCAGCCTGGGTGACACAGCAAGACTCTTGTCTCAAAAAAAAAAAAAAAAGTTAGGTAAATGTTGTGTGTGTGTGTGTGTGTGTTTCAAAATATCTTATCCTATGTAATGTTTTCTGACGCAGTTGACCTCTGGTAACTGAAACCACAGAAAGCGAATCTGTAAATAAGGAGCAACTACTATGCTGGTACAGGTTTATTGTGTAATTAATTGTCTTGGAGGGATCTCAGATCCAGACTACACTCCCACAGATGGGAGTAGAGTTTTCTTAAAGTGAAACGACATTTTCATTCTCAGCCGTCCTGCGAAGAGGTCCTTCTGGGGCAAGGAGTCAGGGCAATACAACATTTGGTATTGGCTACTCCTGGCCACAGTGACAGTTCCAGAAAGAAACAAGAAGCCAGTCTGGTGAAGGACCTGAGGCTGTGCCAGAACTGTAAATTACGGCATGTTTTACTTCTCTTTCCTTATTACCAGTCTTCAGTAAAATCTCTGCGATAAGCTAAGACAAAATTCAGCAAACATTTTCTGTAAAGGGCTGGATAGTAAATATTCTAGGCTTTGTGCCCATGCTGTCTCTGTCACAACCACTTAACTCTGTTGCAGAAAAGCATCCATAAATATGTAAATGAATGAATGTGGCTGTGCTCCAATAAAACTTTATATACACTGAAATTTTAATTTAATATAATTTTACATGCGATAAAAATATTATTCTTCTTTGGACTTTTTTTCAACCATTTAAAAATGTAAAATTCATTCTTAGCTCACAGGCCATACAAAAACAGGCAGAGGATCAGATTTGAAGCATAGATTAGGGTTTGCCAACCCCTGGCTCTAGGAAATTAAAGAGGAGGGCATGTCCTTCTGGCAGTAAGACAGTAAAAGAGAAAAAAAGTATGCCTTCCCCTGAAGATTAAGGATGGAAACCTACTGCAACGGTCACCATCAGAAGACAGCCACATTCCACGGAATGCTGATCTTCCTCCAACTTAACCAAGCCCACAGTGACTGAATTTTAGGATGTCAATGTAAGGCAACAATGCCCTCTAAACTGCTAAAGACTGGCTATTATAGAGTAAAGGATCAGTGATGTTGCTGGGACATAGAACATGCTCTGATGACACTTGATTCCTTCCTTTCTTCCTTTTCTTTTTTCCTTCTTTCCTTTTTTTTTTTTTCTTATTTTAGTTTCACAAACTCAGTGTGATTATGTTTAATTCTTGTTGGGGTTTTTTCGTAAGTCTGACTAATAGGAAAATAGGAAAAGCCAAATCCTTATTATTTAAACCATAGTTAAGACTTTAGGGCTGCACACTGACTCATGCCAGTAATCCCAATCCTTTGGGAGGCTGAAGTGGGAGAATCACTGAGCACAGGAGTTTGAGACCTGCCTGGGCAACATAGCAAGATCTCTTTTCTACAGTAAAATATTTTTTTAATTAGCCAGGCATGGTCGCACGTGCCTGTAGTCCTACCTACTCAGGACACTGAGGTGGGAGGATCGCTTGAGCCCAGGAAGTTGAAGTTGCAGAGAGCCGTGAACGTGCCACTGCACTCCAGCCTGGGTAACAAAGCGAGAGCCTGTCTCCAAAAAAAAAAAAAAAAAAAAAAAAAATAGTTATTTTTTTTTTTGAAAGATTAATTTTTCAAGACCTATAGTCAAGGGACAAAAGCGAACTAAGAACACAAAAGATTCTTTGATGGTGGTCTCTACCACTGCCCCTATACAAAAATTGCACCACGTGTCTTTTTCTCCACATTCTGTGTACACCTTCGTGTGAGTATGTGCACACTCACATGCATGTGGGCTTTCTCCAACCTTTACTTTTATGCACAGTTCGAAATAAAATTTTTCATTAAATTCATTCATCTTTTGGATCAGCCAAAGGTGAACTCTGTAGACATTAATGCAGCATAGAAAATCAATACATCACAATTAGTAAAAAAACAACTGGAAAGCCTCCTAGCTTATTCTATTTTATTTTTACTTATACACTTTCAGTTTGTTTGAACAGAGAGTAATTTTGCTATTCATTCCATCAGCCAGAATTCTTGAACCAATGAAGCCAATGGACACTAATGAAAAGGCATTTTTCATGTCCGTTACATTTGACTTAACACCAAGTTGCTTAATGAATTACATTTGGGTTTCACCTTAGAGTTGATTAAATATTTAACATTTGGAATAAAAATATAGCTGCATTTGGTAGGTTAAGGGTGAGCCACAAAATGGTGTCTAGCAACTGATTCTGGAAGCGCATTATAGGAAACACTATTAAAAATTATCTAACCCAATAAACCAACAGGTTAGGCTAGAAAACTGAGGCCCGAGAGATCAGGTGGCACGCTCAAGGCAAGGTCATCCAGGTAGATTTTAATCTGCCATTTATTTTAGCTGCATATTAGACTACTTTTGAGAAGCAGAAAATGGGACATTTCTTTTAGGATGGTCGATTCCTAGTTTTCAGAGATTGGCCCTTTTTTTGAACAGGTGTAGATTTTGTACCTGATCTCAGTGTGCATATGTTTCTAACACCCCCAAATGAAGGCTCTGCTCTAAGGGAAGATATGATTTTAGCTGCTGCTGTGGGTAGTGCAGGGTTAAGTGCCACATGTTTAGGTGCAAGGTTTATTCTTGAAGTTGCCAGCTTTAGCTAATTGCAGATGTAAAAGATATGACACTAATCTTTAAAAAATAAAGCAAGCACATTGCAATGAAACCACAAAATTTTTTCATTGTGCGCCTTCCCTAAGGACAATTACGCTAGAAAAAGCAGATTGATAAAAAAAAAACTCTTTTATCAATCTTTTTTGAATAAAATAACCTCTTTTAGATAAAAAAAAAAGTTAAAAAGGTTCTTCCCAACTTAAATGTGATTAAGGAAAATTAACATTTGATTCTGAGTTAGAAATTGTTTGGGGTCACAAAATTGTAAGCCGCCTCAGAACAGCTATTTCCATCCAACTAACCAACTAATTTTAGAGCATTATTGAGGTATAATTGATACAGTAAGCTACACATATTTAAGGGGCACAATTTGACCAATGTTGACATATGCATACATTCATGAAGCCATCATCACAATCAAAATAATAAGCATTTCCATAATGCCCAAAAGTTTCCTATCACCTGTTGGTAATCCACCCCCTCTCCAATGCTGTCCACAGCCATCTACCATCTGCCTTTTTCTTTGTTTGCTTTTGTTTAGTTTTGTTCTACTAGTTGTCCAGCAGCCCTTTACTGAAATATTTTCTTTTGCAGCTCTTTACTACCTGGGCATTCAGCCATCTAGGAAGTCATGAGGGTGGCACCATCAACATGGCGGCCCACAGATGAGGCCATCCCCAGGATCTCTCTAGTGGTTCCAGAGAGTTCTCTAGCTAAAGATTGATGCTGCATTTGTCAGACATTGTTAACAATCTCATAAAAAGTGATATTTACACTGCACTCAATGTTTTCCTGTCTCTTTCTCTCTTTTAGGGGTTCCTTGAGGGATCTGATGATCAGAGCAGAAGCAGAAGGTACTATCACAATCTGGGACTGCCTGTTCTGAATGGTCAGTTCCACTGTAATCCTTATACCCTCCAGTCACCAGTTGCCTTCGCAATGTATAAACAACCTTTTTTGGAGACAGACCCAAAGGATCCACCTTGGCAGCCAGGGCAGATATGGCACAGACATCCCCATCCGTGCACCTCAGATACATGGCTTTGGTCTCATTGGGTTTGAACTCAGGCCATATGGTGGGGGCAGCCAATGTTAGATAAACCCAAATGTGGGATGATGGAATAAAGTTGCACTTTGGTCTCCTCTGAGCCAAAAGCTAAAAGCTGCTTTTTGTTTACATTTTCTAGAAATGTATAGAAATGAAATCCTATAGTGTGTACTCCTTTTTAGTCTGGCTTCTTTAATGCACCATAAGTGATTTTGAGATTCAGCCATGTTGTTGTGTGTATCAATAGTTTGTTCCTTTTCTGTGTTCTGAATTAATTGTAAGGACATAGAAAAATTAACTTAAAATGAACCAAAGACTTAAATGCTAGAGTATAAAACTTCTAAAAAAAACACAGGATAAAATCATAGTGGACTTCAGTTAGAATAAGATCTCTTACATAGGATAACAAAAGCATTAATTATTTTAAAAATTAATAAATTGGGCCGGTCCCGGTGGCTAACGCCTATAATCCCAACATTTTGGGAGGCCTAGGCGGGCAGATCACTTGAGGTCAGGAGTTTGAGACCAGCCTGGCCAACATGGTGAAACCCTGTCTCTACTAAAATACAAAAAAAATTAGCCAGCCATGATGGCAGGCACCTGCAATCCCAGCTATTTGGGAGGCTGAGGCTAGAGAATCTCTTAAATCCTCTCAAAAAAAAATAAATACGAATAAAAAATAAATAAATTGGACTTCATCAAAATTAAAAACTTTTGCTCTTCAAAAGACACTGCTAAGAAAATGAAAAGGCAAGCCACAAACTATGACAACATATATCAGATGAAGGATTCACAGTCAGGTCATATAAAGAACTCAGTAAGGCAAGGCACAGTGGCTCATGCCTATAATCCCAGTGCTGTGGGAGGCCAAGGTGAGAGGATCACCTGAGGCCAGGAGTTCAAGACCAGCCTGGCCAACATAGAGAGATCCCATCTCTACAAAAAACAATTTAAAAGAATTAGCTAGGCATGGTGGCTCATGCCTGTGGTCTCAGCTACTCAGAAGGCTGAGGCAGGAGGATTGCTTGAGCCCAGGGGGTCGAGGCTGCAGTGAGCTGTGACTGTATCACTACACTCCACTGACCCCAACCTGCTGACTCTTTGCTGCCAGCCTTCCCTGAGACTCTGCCTGACTTCTACTTCCTTCCTCCTTCCTGTCTTTGCTCTTGGACTGTTTTCCTGCATCTCACCAGGAATCTGCTCTCGTGACCTCTTCAGCTACAGGATTTGACTTGCTCATAGTATCTGCTATGGTTTGAATGAGTCCCCTCCAAAATTCAGGTGCTGCCAATATAATAGTATTAAGACCTGGGGCCTTTAAAAGGGAAAGGACTCTCTGTTCAATAAATGGTGCTGGAAAAACTGAATTGCCATATGGTAGAAGAATAAAACTGGAGTTCTGTCTCTCACCATAAACAAAAAATTAACTCAAGATGAATTAAAGACTTAAACATAAGACCTGAAACTAAATTCAAACATAAGACCTGAAACTATAAAAATCCTGGAAGGGAACCTAGGAAAAACTCTTCTGGCCATTGGCCATTGGCCTAGGCAAAGAATTTATTATGAAGACCTCAAAAGCAAATGCAACAAAAACAAAAATCAACAAATGGAACTTAAACTAAAAAGCTTCTGCACAGCAAAAGAAGTATCACAGTAAACAGACAACCTACAGAATGGGAGAAAATATTTGCAAATTATGTATCCAACAAAGGACTAATATTCAGAATGTACATTAAACTCAAACAATTCAGTAAGAAAAAACAAAGCCATTAAAAGCCCAGCAAAGCCAAAGTAATTTATAGATTCAATGCTATACCCATCAAGCTATATACCACTGACTTTCTTCACAGAATTGGAAAAAACTACTTTAAACTTCATATGGAACCAAAAAAGAGCCTGCATAGCCAAGAAAATCCTGGCAAAGAAGAACAAAGCTGGAGGCATCATGCTACTTGACTTCAAACTACACTACAAGGCTACAGTAACCAAAACAGCATGGTACTGGTACCAAAACAGAGATATAGACCAATGGAACAGAACAGAGGCCTCAGAAATAATACCACACATCTACAACCATCTGATCTTCGACAAACCTGACACAAACAAGCAATGGGGAAAAGATTCCCTATTTAATAAATGGTGTTGGGAAAACTGGCTAGCCATATGCAGAAAACAGAAATTGGACCCCTTCCTTACACCTTATACAAAAATCAACTCAAGATGGATCAAAGACTTAAATGTAAAACCTAGGATCATAAAAATCCTACAATAAAACCTGGGCAATACCATTCAGGACATAGGCATGGGCAAGGACTTCATGTCTAAAACACCAAAAGCAATGGCAACAAAAGACAAAATTGACAAATGGGATCTAATTAAACTAAAGAGCTTCTGCACAGCAAAAGAAGCTATCATCAGAGTGAACAGGCAACCTACAGAATGGGAGAAAATTTCTGCAATCTATCCATCTGACAAAGGGCTAATATCTAAAATCTACAAAGAACTTAAACAAATTTATAAGAAAAAAACAACCCTATCAAAAAGTGGGCAAAGGATATGAACAGACACTTCTCAAAAGAAGACATTTATGCAGCCAACAGATATATGAAAAAATGCTCATCATCACTGGTCATTAGAGATATGCAAATCAAAACCACAATGAGATACCATCTCATGCCAGTTAGAATGGCGATCATTTAAAAGTCAGGAAACAACAGATGTTGGAAAGGATATGGAGAAATAGGGACACTTTTACACTGTTGGTGGGAGTGTAAATTAGTTCAACCATTGTGGAAGACAGTGTGGCGATTCCTCAAGGATCTAGAACTAGAAATACCACTTGACTCAGCAATCCCATTACTGGGTATATACCCAAAAGATTATAAATCATTTTACTATAAACACACATGCACACGTATGTTTATTGTGGCACTATTCACAATAGCAAAGACTTGGAACCAACCCAAATGTCCATCAATGATAAACTGGATAAAGAAAATGTGGCACATATACACCATGGAATATTATGCAGCCATAAAAAAGGATGAGTTCATGTCCTTTGGAGGGACATGGATGAAGCTGGAAACCATCATTCTCAGCAAACTATCACAAGAACAGAAAACCAAATACCGCATGTTCTCACTCATAAGTGGGAGTTGAACAGTGAGAACACATGAACACAGGGAGGGGAACATCACATACCGGGGCCTTTTGGCAGGGTAGGAGGAGGGGGGAGAGATAACATTAGGAGGAATACCTACTGTTGATGACAGGTTGATGGTTGCAGTAAACCACCATGGCATGTGTATACCTATGTAACAAACCTGCACGTTCTGCACATGTACACCGGAACTTAAAATATTAAAAAAAAAGTTTTTAAAAAAAAGCTGGGCAAAGGACATAAACAGACATTTCTCAAAAGGAGACATACAAACAGCCAACAAACACATGAAGAAAATGTTCAACATAACTAATCTTCAAAGAAATGTAAATTAAAACTACAATGAGATATCATCTTACACCAATCAAAATGGATATTACTAAAAAGTCAAAAAATAACAGGTGTTGGCAAGGCTGTGGAGAAAAGGAAACACATACATTTTTGTTGAGAATATAAATTAGTTCAATCACTATGGAAAACAGTATGCAGAGTTCTCAAAGAGCTAAAAATAGAACTACCATTCAGCCTAGTAATCCCACTACTGAGTATCTACCCAAAGGAAAAAAGTCTTTGTATAAAAAAAGACACCTGTACTCATATGTTCATCACAGCACTATTTACAATAGTAAACTCATGGAACCAACCTAATTGTCCATCAACAGTTGACCAGAAAATGTGGTATACATACAAAATGGAATACTATGCAGCCACTAAAAAGAATGAAATAGTGTCTTTTGCAGCAGCTTGGATGGAACTGAAGGCCATTATGCTAAGTGAACTAACTCAGAAACAGAAAACCAAATACCAAATGTTCTCACTTATAAGTGGGAGCTAAACAATAGGTATTCATGGTCATAAAGATGGAAACCATAGACACTAGGGAGTCCAAAGAGGGGGAGAGCGTGTGAGGGGGAGTTGAAAATTACCTATCCAGTACAATGTTCATTATCGGGGTATTGGGTACACTAGAAGCCAAATCCCTACTCGTATGCAATATACCCATGTAACAAACAAGCACATGTACCCCCAAATCTAAAATAAGATATATTTGAAAAAAAAATTTTTTTAAGGTTGTTAGGCCATGAGGGCTCCTCCCTCTTGAATGGGATTAAGGCTCTCATAAAAGAGTCCATGCAGAACTCAGTTAGCTTGCCCTTTCACCTTCCTCCATATAAGGACATAGTGTTCTTTCCCTCCAGAGGATGCAGCCCTCACCAATGCCTGGATTTTGGACTTCTCAGCCTCTAGGATTGTGAGAAATAAATTTCTATTTTCTTATAAATTACCCAGTCTATGGTGTTCTCTTATAGCAGCACAAAAGCAGACTAAGACAGTATTTGTAAACTGAGCCCATTCATCCCAAGCCTGACACTGTACTTACAGATATATATCTCATTTGTGGTTGCAGACTACAGCAGTCACACTCTCTTGATCTACGTGTGATTCAGTAGCAGCTGAGTGGACAGTTTTATGTGAACTCAGGCTAACATCACAGGCAGCATCTTGCCTCAAGATGCACTGTGTTCTCTGTCTGCCCTGGAAGTTCTCTAGTCCTTAAGTTGCCACTTAGCCTACATAAAACTGCAGGTAAGTTCGTGCTTTCCAACCCTCAAGACAACCTCAAACAATGGGGGATGAGGTATGTGGATGAATTCTCCAGCATCCCTCCCCTCGGATAAGAGAGGCATTCTGCAACCTTCTCAGACGTTCCCAGCAGAATTGAATCCCCATCACCCCACAGCACTGACCTTGATAATGCTTGCACTGATTTTTCTCATTCCCTGTCTGTCTCTTCCCACTCCCTTATTCCTGCTTCCCTAGTAAACTACCCACTCAAGTTCATGTCTAAGCCTCTCTTGGGAGAATTCAGACTACATGGCCCCCAACAAAGGCACACCAGACTCAATTCCAAGAAACAACATATATTTTCAAGAGATGATGTCGTATGTTTTACTCATATTAATTCAGTTGAAATGCTGGCAAGGACAAACACGGGTTTGTAGATCCAGATGATGGTTCTGGAGAGGAATTTGAAGTCAAGAGCATAAACAAGAATAACTAGGCTTTTTACTTCTCTGTTTTTAATAAACTTTAATAGGCAGCATTTCCACTACTTGAAAAGTTGGCCCTTGCCTCTTGATTCAACACTCATAAAAAGTTGTGATTCTTGTCCTGGAAGACAGGACTGCTGTGTTCAAACTATAATAACAATGTGACTTCATAACCCTCCTGGGTTTAAACTTGAGAACTCCCTGGGAAAACAGTCCACCTCCTTGCAAACACTATGAAGCCTAATACTACCAATTTGCTGATTCATCCAGTATCCAGAACTAGAATGACATAGTCACAGATATTCTGGATTTTGTTTTATTTGATTTTATTTTTAACCCATTTATGGCTTTGGTTTTTTCACAACCAATAGAAAATAAAATGCACTCATTTCTTCACTCTGCAACAGGAGCTAAGAAACCAGAACACCGTGAAGATTTTTCTTGGCGTACCAGGTTTCCTGAAGATGTGTTGCCCTCTTTTTATTCATGTTATAGCAAGAGGGGAAGTAAGCTTTTGATGGGATAGGAAGCACACATCTAGAAACAGAAATCTAATTCATTTTCCAAGGCTTCATTCACTGCCCTCACTATAAAAACCTTCCTGGAGCTCCGTGTTGACAATCCCAGCACTCTTTTCTCACTTTTATAGCCAACTCTTTCACTGTCTCAACAAAAGGGCAAGGCCATAGCTGGTGGAAGGGAGATTTGCTTCCACCGCTTCCTGAGAAACCCCAGTTTATCATAACTTTTTCCATGAGTTCAGGACATATTTCTAATCAGAAATACTATTTTCTGGGACTCAGACAGCTGAGTTCCAGAGATGTCTCTGATATTAACTTAAAGTATGATTTTGAGCAAGTTCTTCCTCCTCTCGGTATGTGAAAGAATCCCCTTTTGAATAAGGTAGCCCGTGTACCTGGCTCTAAGGATAATAGGAGCTTTCACCATGCTAGCAGATCATAAGGTGTATACCCAAATACACAGGCTTATTTTGATATTTATAATCAGCACACTTTGACAAAGTATTTGCTAAGTGGTGCCCTGGGCAAGACACCAACATTCCCTCTACCTCAGTGTCTCCCCTGTATAAAGCAGGCATAACAGAACATGAGGATGAAATGAGTATGGCATTTCCCCAAATGAACGAGGCTCCCCAGTGATGTCAAATTATCTTCAGCAACAGTTGGAAGAAATTTCAAAGAAGTCACTTAGGACAATGTTCAGAGACAGAAATTCTAAAAATGGTGACATTTTGCAAGAGAGGATGTCTTTAGCAAAAAAAAAAAAAAAGTGAGGAATCTTTGTGGCAACTGTGGATGCTGGGGTGTATTTTAAACTGTTGAGTATTTAATAATTATTTTGGGGAGTAATTGCGATTGTAGACTGTTAGGAGTGCAAGTGTTAAGCAAGGGGTAAAGTGATGTCAGCACTATATTTTATCATCGTTATAAGTTATAGCATTTTGGAGCACCTTTAAAAGGTGCACTGGCCTGGGCATGGTTGTTCACGCCTGTAATCCCAGCACTTTGGATGGCTGAGGTGGGTGGATCACTTGAGCCCAGGAGTTTGAGACCAGCCTGGGCAACATGGCAAAACCCCATTTCTACAAAAAAAATACAAAAATTAGCCAGGCATGGTGGTGCATGCCTGTGGTCCCAGCAACTCAGGAGGCTGAGGCACGAGAATCACTTGAGCCTGGGAAGTCGAGGCTGCAGTGAGCCGAGATGGGAGGATCGCATGAGCCCAGGAGGTTGAGGCTGCAGTGAGCCAAGATCGTGCCACTGCACTTCAGCCTGGGCAACAAAGCAAGACTCTTGTCTCAAAAAAAAAAAAAAGAGAGAGAGAGAGCACTGAAGAGTTACTTATGACTGCGCTCCTCAGGCTTATTCCATCTCCCACCAATGACCCCCAAAGAGAAAATACTTTCTCACTCACTATAATCCAGGGAGTCATAGTGAGTATAACAAAATTTACATCCCAGACTGTGATCACTAAGTAAATCTTTCATCACCCAATTCTATCTGTTAAATATTGTACCTCTGATTATATTCTGAAGTGTCACAGTTCACTCCGTTTCCAGGGACAGTAAAAATTTTATGTTTGAGCAGAGAAATCTGAGACAGAGAGAGAGAATGTGTGTGTGTGTGTCTATGTGTGTCTGTGTCTGTCTGTCTCTGTGTGTGTGTGTGTGTGTGTGTGTGTGTGTGTGTGAGAGAGAGAGAATCTCAATTGTATTTTCCTTTGTACTCTAAATACTTGTAATCACAGAGAATATTCTAGATGTTGTTATAACTCCAGAAGAATTATGCTCAGGGAATTAAAACAATCCAAGTTCAAACATACACACACACAGACACCCATACACACACAAACACACGCACACATACCCTCAGTAAAGCTAAATCAATGGGGCAAATGGGTGAAGAGAAAGGACTATGTGCTTTAAAATGAAGCTGACCTTGGTTGGAATTCTGGCCTGCAACCCACTTAGTATGGTTGAGAGCCTTATTCCTACAGACTGGGTTTAAATCCTGATTCTACCATTTGTAAGTTGTGTGACTTTGGACAAATTACTCCAGCTCTTTGTCTCTAGTACTTCATTGTAAAATGGGGCAAAAACAGTGCCTATCTCATAACAATGTTCTGAGTATTAAGTGATACAACACTTACAAGAGCTTGGGAGGGGCCAGGCACGGTGGCTCATGCCTGTAATCCCAGCACTTTGGGAGGCTGTGGTGGGTGGATCACCTGAGGTCAGAAGTTAAAGACCAGCCTGGCCAACATGGTGAAACCCCAGCTCTACTGAAAATACAAAAATTAGCCGGGTGTAGTGGCACATGCCTGTAATCCCAGCTACTAGGGAGGCTGAGGCAGGAGAATCACTTGAACGCAGAGGCGGAGTTCGCAGTGAGCCAAGATGGTGCCACTGCACTCCAGCCTGGGTGACAGAGTGAGATTTCATCTCAAAAAAAAAAAAAAAAAAAAAACAGCTTGGGAGACTACCTAGCACATAAGTAGAACTTGAACATCGGCTATTATTATCATCATTATTAACTTAGTTACATGTCCTATGCAAGTTATCACTCTCCCTATGCCTCAGTTTTCCCTTCCATGAAACAAGTATAACAGATTCCCATAAGCCTAAAATGAGATAGTGGTAAGGAATTATCTGGAACAGTGCCTGGGTAAGGAAGCCCTCGCTCAGTTATATGGGAAAATGTCATCTGAAGTGTCCCAAGTTTAATGGTCACTAGTCAAGAAACACTACACACTTTGAAGTAGCCAAAGGTGGTAAAGCCTGGAGTGGTAGCCAGCTTTATTTATTGTCAAGGCCAGCACATTCATCAACTCTCCTCATTAAAATTTGCCAATTAATGAGCAGTGGCATACCCCTTAGCAAAGGTCAGCAGCAACCTAAGCAAACTTATCAAAAATTCAAAGAGGTGCAGAGTTTGGGAAAAGTTCATTCTTCCCTTAATTAACGGATCTAATTACAATCCTGACATAACAAAATGCAAAATGCGCTCTTCAAAAGACACCGAGTCAAAGGTTTAACAGCCCAGATAACCTTCTCCTTTGGTACAGGCTGACCCAAATGTAGGGGAGGGGGGAGGAGGGAATCTTAGAGTACAGTCAACAGGGTTGATGAAAGGGCTTTTCAAGAAATTAAAGCTTAGAAGCACATCAGAATCCCAGAGCATCAAAGGAATTGAGAGGGAATAAAAACATTCCTACATCCTGGGATCTGGATGAACACAGGGTCAAGGCTTTCACTAATCTCCCTTCTTAGCAAACGTCAAAGTATTTATTTGGTGACCTTTCCTGGTTAGTTATGAGTAGCACTTTAACATCCTAAAGAGTGTGGGTCTGTAATTGTTGCCTCATTTACATCACACCTAAAGTGCAATAAGATGGAACAGTTCTGCTGTGCTTAAGTTGTTTCTGAAATAGCAGGTCCAGAATTTCAAACCAGGAACCGCTAACCAAAGGCTTAGAAAAAGGCAGCCTGACCTACAGCTCATCCCCTCCTCTGGGGGCTAGCATCTTGAGAGGGTGAGCTCGGTCTGTTTCATGACCTAGGATCAGTTTCACCAGAGACTTCAAAAACTGGCAGCTTCGGGCGTGGTAGCGGGCGCCTGTAGTCCCAGCTACTCGGGAGGCTGAGGCAGGAGAATGGCGTGAAACCGGGAGGCGGAGCTTGCAGTGAGCCGAGATCGCGCCACTGCACTCCAGCCTGGGCGACAGAGCGAGACTCCGTCTCAAAAAAAAAAAAAAAAAAAAAAAAAAAAAAAAAAAAAAAAAAAAAAAAAAAAAAAAAACGGCAGCTTCAGGTTTTGCTTCATTATATGAAAGTGAATGAATGGGATGATAGAAACCATTAAATCTTAGTGCTTTCTACCAGCTTCAACAGTGTTCAAAACTCTTCATCAGCAAGAGACTTTTCTACTCCCAATGCCTCAAAAACTTCTACAGAAGTTCCTGAGAAGTATACTTGTGAATTAGAATAAACATATCACAGGGGCTAGGCACGGTGGCTTATGCCTGTTATCCCGGCACTTTGGGAGGCCGAGGTGGGTGAATCACCAGAGGTCAGGAGTTCAAGACCAGCCTGGCCAACATGGTGAAACCCCATCTCTACTAAAAATACCGGAAAAAAAAAATAGCCAGGCGTGGTGGCACACACCTGTATTCCCAGCTACTCAGAGGTTGAGGCAGAAGAATTGCTTGAACCCAGGAGGCAGAGGTTGCAGTGAGCTGAGATTGTACCACTGCACTCCAGCCTGGGTGACACAGTGAGACACCATCTCAAAAAAATAAAATAAAATAAATACACAGATCACAGAATATTATTAACCTGAAAGAGAAAACTGGTGCCCAGAGAAAAGAAATGACTTGCCTAAGGTCAAAGAGAAAGGTAATAGTAGAGGACCCCGCTGTCCATCCTCACAGGGTCAGATGTGCTTTCTCCACCCACTTAGTCATTTAGCTGTCCAGTTAATTATTGAATGGGCCTCTTACATGTGTTGGACCTTGTTCAGTCACTGGGAAGTGGTTGAGTATCCAAAGAAGACACGATGTAATGGAGCTTCCCTTCTAGTGGAGGAAAATAGACAATAAAACCAACAAAGCAGCAAGAAAGCTGCATCTGGGATCAGTACTTACAGAGAATTAAAACAGAGGAATGTGATAGTGACTGGCTGACTATTACAGATGGAACGACCAGGGAAGCTCTCCCTGAAAGGTGACATTTCAGCTGAGACTTGAATGGCATGCAGGCGATTCATGTGAGAACCAGAGAGAGGGCATAAAAGCAGACAGGGATGGTTGGTGCCAAGGCCTGAGGCTGCTGACGAATGATGACGGAGGTGCAGCAGGGCATGGGTAGATAATACAGGACTCTGCACATCCGTGATAGGGTGTATGAATTTTATTACAAGTGAAATAGAATCTACTGGAGGGTTTTAAACAAGGAGTGATCTGAATTCTCTTAAAAAGATCATCCTGGCAGATGTGCAGAGACTGGATTAAAGGAGACAGGAGGATCAGGAAGAATAACTAATGGGTACTAGGCTTAATACCCAGGTGATGAAATAATCTGTACAACAAGCCCCCTATGTTTGTTACCTATGTAACAAACCTGCACATGTATCCCTGAAAAATTTTTTTAAAAAAAGAGGAAGAAAGAAATAGTTCTTCTGGGCCAAATGCAGATGGCTATAAGATACCCATGTGAGATACCAGCTAGATGACTGGATATAGAAATATACAAACCTGGTATTCCGGGAAGATGTTTGGGACAGGGGCATCCAATTGGGAGTTACTACCTTAGAGCTGTTATTAAAAAGTCATGGAATTGGATGAGGTCACCGGGCAAGAGGAGGAATGTTTGCAAAGGAACAGTCCACCCCGCTCCTTTCCAGGAGGAGCTCTGTGCTTTTTTCTCTCACACACAGCAGTTCTTTGACAGTGCTTGAAAATAACAAAGGAAGTGAGGTGACTCTCAGCGTCCTTAGACGCAGTGTGTTTGGAGTTGGTGCCTCTTCCCCATAATCAAAAGGCCCTCAGAGGCGAGACGCGAAGACGCACACTCCCTGTGATGTGCGGCAGAGTGAACCCTGGTCCCTCACTCAAGTCCTTCATAAAGGAAAAGAAAAAAAAATCCATCTGCTTCCACAAAACTGTTGAGTTTTACTTACTGTGCACAGGAGGAAAAAAGAAGCCGTAGCTCTTCCCTCAGAGCCCGGGATGAGGCTGCCCCCTCGTGTCCACTAACAGTCATGACCCGCTCAGCAATCCAAAATCCATTTTTCAAAGTTGGAGCACACACAGTTGCCTTTATTTCCTCCTTGCTTTTTCCTTAAATAAGCACCATTTTCTAGAAATCAATCCCACGAGTTCCAATTAAAGGAACATAGAAGCACAAGGAAACAAAAAAGGTCCAGATGACTTTAATCACCACTGGAACACCAAAAGGTGAGCTTTTAAAAAACACATCCTTCCTCCTAAAAGGTACTATTGTTTTTAGGGGCGAGGAAGAAGTCGAACTCAGTGACTCACCATAATCCCAACACTTTGGGAGGCTGAGGAAAGAGGGTCACTTGAGTCCAGGAGTTTGAGACCCACCTGTGCAACATAGCGAGACCTCTTCTCTACAAAAAAAAATTTTGAAAAATTAGCCCGGCGTGGTGCATGCCTGCAGTGCCAGCTACTCAGAAGGCTGAGGTGAGAGGATCGCTTGAGCCTGGGAGGTCAAGGCTGCAGTGTGGTATGATTGTACCACTGCACTCCAGCCTGGGTGACAGAGCAAGACCTTGTCTCAGAAAAAAAAAAAATAGAAAGAAAGAAAGAAAAGAAAAATAACACACATCGTTCCCTATCGCACAAGTTATAATTCTCAAGCAGTGATATTGATGGCTTAACAGATTCAGATACCTGGTGTTCCTTTAAGATGCCCTATGGAGTTTGATCTTGATGTGACTGGCAGGGTGATTAACCAGCGTCTTGATGTGGGCTCCCCTGAAAGCAGAACCTGAGACAAGGATTAGAGTGCAGGTGATGTCAGAAGCAGGAGTGTGGAAGGCCAGGAGCAAAACAGGAATGAGGAGAAAGCAGGTCTGGGTTATTGAGCTGTTTACCTTTCGGTCAACTGGAGCTCAGAACTACCAGGGAACTTCTGAGAACCCATGTAGAATTGTGCAGCTAAAGGGCAACAGTCTGGTGCCTTTTTCTTTTTTCTTTTTTGAGACAGAATCGTTCTTTGTCACCCAAGCTGGAGTGCCGCGATGCAATCATAGCTTACTGCAGCCTTGAACTCCTGGGCTCAAGCAAATCTCCCACCTCAGCCTTCCAAGTAGCTAGGACCACAGGCACATGCCACTGTGCCTAGTTATTTTTATTTTGGAGACACAGGGTCTTGCTATGTTGCCCAGGCTGATCTCAAACTCATGGCCTCATGTAAATCTCCTGCTTCGGTCTCCTAAAGTGTTGGAACTACAGGCATGAACCACCACACCCAGCCTCTGGTGACTTTTCAACCAGCTCTCGTTCCCTGTTGAAGGATTGTTCTCTTGCACATCTGGGATAAGGCAGTTGACTATCCTTCCATGGCTTTCGAGAGAGTCCTGAGGCAGAAGAGAATATGACCCACATGGAAATGCTTGAGTGAGATAGGGGCAGGAACAGGAACTGTCCACCTCCACTGGGCTGAAAAGGATGGGTTGAGGTGATGTGGCCTAGGTATGATCAGCATCTATGTTCTCCAGGAAGAGTCTCATCTTGAATAATTTAGAGGACAGGATGCCACATTTGCCATTTGCTACCTGTGCGAGCTTTGGCAAACTTCTTTTCCCTCTAAGCCTAATTTCTTCATCCATAAAGTAATTACAATGGTAGCTCTAATTAAATGCTCTTCTAAATAATAAATGTGTTAATATATGTGAGATTCCTAGTGCAAGAAGAAAAACACATTAAGTTGTTATAGTATTGTTAATAAAATAATAATTATAAGAGTAATATCTCATTTGCCTTACTGCTTTCTAATTTTGGTTCACATTTATTGACTCAATTTTGGTCTTGCTCTTACTCAGTTGCTTCTGTTTATTTAGACACATGGTGGTTGCCTTCGCTTGTTTCCTTTCTTTCTTCTTCCTTTCTTCCTTCCTAACAAATATTGATTGAGCCCTAACTGTGCTTCAGGCCCTGTGCTCACCTGACTCTATAATTCTTCTTTGTTTCTCAGGCTGTAGTTAGCATTCTTTCCTAAATTACTGGAAATTCATTGCTTGTATAAATACTGGCCCCAACTAACCCCTATTCTGCACCACACAAATACTTTAAAGTCTTGTCCTGCCACACTGGAAATGCAACAAAAAGACCAGAACTTACATCTAAATGAGCAGATAGTCACCTAGCAAAGTTGCACAATCCACCTCTCTGCACCTCCACCCCAAGCATGCATTTAGGGAATGGTACAGAGTTGGCTTATTGTTTTTTATGTATTTGAAGACAAAATTTTTTTGTTTTATTTGTAGGAATATGCAACAACACAAACAGAGGAGTTACCCAGCACTAAAGGCCACATCTTATTGTTCTTTTGCCACCCCACTTTATACCTACCCTAGCAACCTTCACTTAGTAAGTATAAAATAAGTATTACCTACTGTATTCCTTCATTTATCAAATATTGTAAGCACTCACTATAATTGATAATTGATGTAGTATGTGCTGAAGAAGAACACAAAGGTGGTTAAAATATAATTTGTAATATCAAGATCACTGTGGTCTACCAGAGAAGATAATATTAAGTGACTCTAACTATAAGGATGTGAGTAATGTGTGTGTCTTCTCTAGAGGACAGTAGAATCCTTTAGGGAAGAAACTCATGTTTGTAGTCCCCATGGCACATAGTAGGCTCTTCTACCCATAAGTACTGGCAGAAGAAGAATGGAAGAAAATAGAAAACTCAGTTGCTTCAATGGAAAGAGAATACAATCCACTGAAAAAGGATCTTGGAAAGGTTTTGTAATGGTCTGAATGTCTGTCCCTTCCAAAACTCACATTGAAATTTAGTTACCATCGTAACAGTGTTGAGAGGTGGGGCTTTTAAGAGGTAACTGGGCCATGTGGGCTCTGTCCCCATGGGTGGAATTACTGCTGTCATAAAAGTGTGAGTTTGGTCCCTTTTGTCTCAGCTCTTCCACTCTTCTGCCATGTGAGGAACAGTTTCCCACCTCCAAAGGATGCAGCCGTCAAGGCGCCATCTTGGGAGTGGAGACTGGGCCTTCACAAGGCACCATGCCTGCAAGTGCCTTCATCTTGAACTTCCCAACCTCCAGAGCTGTGAGAAATAAATTTCTGTTCTTCATAAGTTACCTAGTCTGTGGTATTCTGTTATAGCAGCACAAAACAGACTAAGACAAGTTTTATATATACATTGAATTGAAGTGGGTAATATTTCAATAGACAAAAAATGTGGAAAAAAAGAGTACATGAGGCCTGGTGCAGTGGCTCACACCTGTAATCCCAACACTTTGGGAGGCCGAGACGGGTGGATCACCTGAGGTCAGGAGTTCAAGACCAGCCTGGCCAACATGGTGAAACCGTGTCTCTATTAAAAATACAAAAATTAGCCAGGCATAGTGGCGGGCACCTGTAGTCCCAGCTACTCGGGAGGCAGGAGAATAGCTTGTACCCAGGAGGCGGAGGTTGCAGTGAGCCAAGATCATGCCACTGAACTCCAGCCTGGGTGACAGAGTGAGACTTTGTCTCCAAAAAAAAAAAAAAAAAAAATACAAGAAAGAAAAGAAAGAGTACGTGACCACCATGTGTTGTTTAACAATGGGGGATACATTCTGAGAAATGTGTTGCTAGGTGATTTTGTTATTGTTAGGACATCATAGAGTGTACTTACACAAACCTAGATGGTATAGCCTACTACATACTTGGCTATGTGGTAGAGCCATTGCTCCTAGGCTGCAAACCTGTACAGCATGGTACTGTGCTGAATACTGTAGGCAACTGTAACACAATGGTAAGTATTCATGTCTCTAAACATATCTAAACATAGAAAAGATAATGTGTTGTGCTACGACATTAGGACAGCCACTACATCACTAGGCAATAGGAATTTTTCAACTCCATTATAATCTTAGGGGACCACCGTTTTATATGCGGTCCATCATTGACTGAAACATTGTCCTGCAGCACGTGGCTATACCAGTCAAAGGAAGCATAAGCAAAGATACAGAGTCAGGAAATGTTTACGCACACCCTATGATAAAAGTATGCAGTATAATGAGAATTTAGAGGGTTTATCAGGGAGTAACAGAATAAGCTAGAAAGAGAGTTTTAGACCAATTAAATGATT
Organism: Homo sapiens; assembly: GCF_000001405.40. Taxonomy (NCBI): domain Eukaryota; kingdom Metazoa; phylum Chordata; class Mammalia; order Primates; family Hominidae; genus Homo; species Homo sapiens. The sequence goes on along the minus strand of NC_000016.10, from coordinate 58,810,337 downwards.
GAATCTTATGCATGGGGATCCACTTATCATCAAATGCAATTAGCAGGGCACGGTGGGAGGAAGATTTACACCTTATTATTTACCAGAGAAAGGCTGTATTTTGTTTTACCATGAAAGGGACATTGTCCGGAATAGTGATTTCTATAATTTAGTCCACAAGTTTATGTTAGGAGCTATCTAGATATTACACATAGTATGTGAATTTCTATTCAAAAGATAATAGTCCATAGATTTTTTGTGAGATTTTGCTGCACCCATCACCTGAGCACTATACACTGCACCCTATTTGTAGTCTTATCCCTCACCCCCTTCCCACCCTTTCCCCCGAGTCCTCAAAGTCCACTGTGTCATTCTTATGCCTTTGCATCCTCCCACTTATGAGTGAGAACATACGATGTTTGATTTTCCAAAAGACATAGTCTATAGATTGAAGGAATAATGTTTTGTACACATTTGTAATATCTATATATAAGGTTTTAATTAAAAAATTCATTTAAAATAGCTCAACAATTTGTTCTCAATGAATGGAAAATATAAATACTATCAGTATATTAGCACTGATAATGGATCTAGAGATGATCAAATAAAAAATAAAACAGAGACTCTGAGTCTTCACAGATAATAATCTGGGGCAAGGTAACTAAAACTCACCATCCAAGTTTCTTTTTGTCCAGCTTTAACAACAACCACTGTTTGTTAGACACTATGCCTGGAGAACAGATGGAAGGAGGATTGATTGGAAGCTGTGAGACCAGTTAGGTAGCGACAGTGACAGTGATTTAAGTGAGAGATAATGAGTGTCTGAAGGTGATACCGGAAGAGTTAAAGAGGAGGAAGCAGCTACAAGAGATGATGTATTCGCAAAATAAAAAGGACTAACTAGATGAACAAGATTAACTGGGTGTGGCAATGAGGCATACATTGAGAATATCTCCTATGTTTCCAACTTGTACAGCTGGGAGAATTGTGATGCCTTTTTCTGCATGTTTGCTTGCCAGTGTGTGTCAAGAGGTGGAAGGAAGTGGTAAATGATGAGTTCAGTCTTCTTGAATTAAGGAGTATTTGGAACATCCAAGACAGACTATTTCAGCACACCTGGCCAATGACACACCCTACCAACAGCTGTGCCATTTTAGGTTCAAGCAGGACCTTTGTAACACTTATAAAAACAAAGTTTGAATTTTCAAAAAAGGGGAGAGTTGTTTCCCTCCATGAATCTGAGCAAAAAACCTCTCGCCAAGTCAATTCACTGGAAGTTTTTCTACTAACTCTTAGCTCCTCAAGGGAAGGCACTCTCTCATTTATCTCTGTTTCATCAGAACCTAGGCATTCAGGAAACGTTTGTTGAATTAATGTTAGAATAAATCTCTGTTCTATTATGAGTCTAAAGGACTGCTGAAAAGGAATCCAAGCCTGTAAACAGAGCTCTTTGGGATGGGGCAAGAGGAAGGAGGAGCTAAAGAAAGCACCTTTCAGGGTAGGCATGGTGGCTCACAGCTATAATCCCAGCACTTTGGGAGGCCGAGGCGGGAGGATCACTTGAGGCCAGGAGTTTAAGACCAGCCTAGGCAATATGGCAAAACCCGTTTCTACAAAATAATTTTTTTTTAATTAGTCGGCCTACTGGTATATGCCTGTAGCCCCAGCTACTCGGGAGGCTGAGGTGGGAGGATTACTTAAGCCCAGGAGGTTGAGGCTGCAGTGAGCTGTGATGAAGCCACTGCACTCCACCCTGGGCAACAGAGTGAGACTTTTGTCTTAAAAAAAAAAAAAGGGGGGGGCAGGGGGAGGTGATATCTCCAGAATATAACCAGTTGCTTCCTCCCACATTCATCCCCTGACCACTTGATTTCCATATAGAGTCTTAAACTAGAGATTAGCACATGTTTTGAAGAGGGGGAAGAAGAGGAGGAAAGGGAGAAGGAGAGAATAAGGAGTAGAAAAGCTGCCATGGTTCCCACTGGCTTTTCAGTGTATTCATTCCAGACATTTATGAGGCCTGGTTTTGTATTCTTGTGATGCTCTTCTATCCTTTTCCGTTTAATCTTAACTAAATTTAAAGAGTCTTCACTCTTAGGGGAATATCACACTCTGGGGACTGTGGTGGGGTGGGGGGAGGGGGGAGGGATAGCATTGGGAGATACACCTAATGCTAGATGACGAGTTAGTGGGTGCAGCGCACCAGCATGGCACATGTATACATATGTAACTAACCTGCACAATGTGCACATGTACCCTAAAACTTAAAGTATAATTAAAAAAAAGAGACTATTTCAAAGTGCAAATAAATGCAAATTATCTACACATTAAAAAAAAAAAAGAAGAGTCTTCACTCTTAAAACCAAATGGTTATGAACTTAGCAAATAGTGGATACTCAAAGCTGATGAAGAGGAAGCAAGGACAGAAAGCAATATCCTTACACAGGCTGGCTTTCATTCATGGGACTACTGAATGTCGGTTTTTCTAAAGCACTCAAGAATTTCATAGAGAAGCTCACCCGTCTTCATACCTGAAGATCAGCAGAAACATTTGAAAAATTAAAGAGGGCCCAAATTTTGGGTCAGTGACACTCCTGTTCCCAAAGGGTGACCCAGTCCCTGTGGGGATTGAGTCTGATATGGGATAATGTGAAGGACCTGGGCTAGACCATCAATCTTGGCCACAGCCTATGGTGTTTGAGAGAAATAGAAAGGAGACAGTAGAGAGGAAAAACTGAAGGCTGAATTCAGCTGATAAGGAATTAAAATGGGCCTCAAGAATGAGTAAATTCATATAATCCATGGAATAGGTCACTTGGGGCACTCTACTAAGACACTGGTATAACAAAGCTAGCTAAACATGGGTGTTCAAATGCACTTCCCTTTTTTAATAACAATGCAGCTTGAAAATAGGAAAAATATTCATCCCCAAAGAATTCTCTGGAGGAGCTGGAAAATTACCTGCCTCCAGCTGGTACCTTGCTCTGTTAATGATTTGTATACAGGTGAACAAAAGGTTCAGTGCTCCTATTAATTACCTAAAAAGGGATTAATCTTCTTTTCACCAGGGAATTAGGAAATCAAGAGGTACATTGCCTAATATTTCTCTGTATCACAGATGTCAGAAATAAGTGTTCTTTCTTGTACACGCACCATACTTTTCCCCAGTTTTCTTTCTACCCCCATTCTGTACACCAGTCTAGCACATTGGGAAGAAATAAATACATATTTGTCTTGGTTTTTGCTCAAATCCTGGAGGTAGAAATGATGGGGCATGAACTTTGTAAGCCAAAGCACATGGTAGATAACCGTACCTTTCACTTCACCATCAGAATGTCCCCTTCCCCCTACATTCTCTCATATCAATCACTCCCTGAACTGTATTTCACTTCAACTGGTCATGGGGTCCTCAAAGTGTCCACAGCCTTTTAAAAAAAATTTTTATTTTAGGTTCAGGGCTACATGTGTAGGTTTGTTATACAGGTAAATTGTGTGTCACTGGGGTTTGGTGTACAGATTTCCTCACCCAGAATTCAGAATAGTACCTGATATGGTTTGGCTCTGTCCCCACTCAAATATCATCTTGTAGCTCCCACAATTCCCACCTGTTGTGGGAGGGACCCAGTCGGGGATAGTTGAATCGTGGGGGCGGATCTTTCCTGTGCTGTTCTCGTGACAGTGAATGTGTCTCACGAGATCTGATGGTTTTATAAACGGGAGTTTCCCTGCACAAGCTCTCTCTTTGCCTGCTGCCATCCATGTAAGATGTGTCTTGCTCCTCCTTGCCTTCCACCATAATTGTGAGTCTTCACCAGCCATGTGGAACTGTAAGTCCAATAAAACTCTTTCTTTTGTAAATTGCCCAGTCTCAGGTATGTCTTTATCAGCAGCAGTATGAAAATGGACTAACAAAGTATCCAATAGGTAGTTTTTCAATCCTCATTCTCCTCCCACCCTCCACCTTAAATTAGGAGCTGGTATATACCATTCCTTTCTTTGTTTCCATGTGTGCTCGATGGTTAGCTCCCACTTATAAGTGAGAATATGTGGCATTTGGTTTTCTGTTCCTGTGTTAGTTCACTTAAGATAATGGCCTCCAGCTCCATCCATGTTGCTGCAAAGGACATGATCTCATTATTTTTTATGGCTGCATCATATTCCATGGTGTATATATACCACATTTTCTTTATCCAGTCTACCATTGATGGGTATTTAGGTTGATTCTAGGTCTCTGCTATTGTGAATAGTCATGGAGTTTTCTTAAATAACACTAGGCTTACTCACTTACTACACTGCCTATGGTTGGAGTCTTAACTTGAATAGCCTACAGCCTTACAATTCACCTTCCATTAATGACCTCAACTCTAAACTGTAATGTAGATTTTCCCCCATCTTCATTGCCTTGTGCAAATATCCCACCAGAAACAACATTGTTTCAGGGGCATTGTACCACATTCCAATTGCCAAGAAGAAGGGCTTGCCGGAATGTTCACCCCAAATCAAGTAATACTGAATAGAATTTAAATCAAATAGGTATATTCTATAAGATATTTTTTGTTTTTCTGAAAACTGTTCATGTGTGTCATTATGTTCAGGACTTGTAATAATCAGCACTTGTAATGACTTAGATGGAGATGTAAATGGTAAGAGCTCAGCCTTGCAAATAAAGTGAAGATGTGGGGGAAAGAAACTATTGAATGAAATGCAATATGCAACTGTCTATTAAATATGAATAAATTGCTTTAAACTTAAATCTTACTATTTTATCATAAAAACCCCTATAGAAGAGTTCAAGGCTGCAGTGAACTATGATTGTGCCACTGCATTCCAGTCTGAAAAACAGAGTGAGACTCTGTCTCAAAAAAAAAAAAAAAAAAAAAATCCCTGTAGAGTTGCTATTGTTATTACCATATCTCTATCTCATAAAGTATTAGGCTTTATCATCCCTAGAGCATACATGAAAAAATCTACTGAATCTGAGAGAAGGGAACAGAAAAAAAACAACAAAACACCTCCACTCCTGGGGAAGAGGCAAGAACACATGCTGAGCCTAGACGATTAGAGATCTCCTTCCCCGGGTGAGGTGGCTCATACCTGTAATCCCAGAATTTTGGGAGGCCAAGGCGGGTGGATCACTTTGAGCCCAAAAGTTTGAGACCAGCCTAAGCAACATGACAAAACCCTATCTCTAAAAAAGTACAAAAAAATTAGCCAGGCATGCTAGCACATGTCTGTGGTCCCAGCTACTCAGGAGGCTGAGGTGGGAGGATTGCTTGAGCCCAGGAGTTAGAGGCTGCAGTGAGTCGTGATCACACCACTGCACTCCAGCCTGGGCAATAGGGCAAGACCCTGTCTCAAAAAGAAAAAAAAAAACAAAAGCAGTTTATACTATCACATTTGGGATTAACTTAAAAAATATATATCTCCTCTAGCT